>NC_000014.9:79005652-79157167 GCF_000001405.40 Homo sapiens
ACGTGCCCTAAACTTTATTGATTTGGGCTTACCTTCCTTACCTTGTTCATCTAGATATGTTCAATGGGCCTTGTACTGAATATTTGTGTGGTGTTTACATGTTTATACATGTTTACCTGTGTGTGACTTTTTTTTTCTAATTTGAACCAGGACTATGTGATTATTTTACTTGTACATTTCTTAGAACAGTGTCGGTCCTCAAAAAAAACGAGTGGGTTTCTTACTCTCTTTCCTTTCTTTCACTAAATATTTCATCATTGTAGCACTGATCTTACACATATTTGTTAATTTTTCTGGCTCATTGTCAACTGTGAGTTCTACAGGGTAGGTACAATGCCTCGTTTATTTTTATATTCCCGGTCTCTGTATCAAACCTACATAGGATTTGCAGGAAATGAGCCACTGGGAGTTTTTGAGCAAGTGTGTGATATGCCCAAAGATATGCCTTAGAAAGATTCCTCCTGGCAGAGTGTGAGAAGCAGGTTGAGAGAAAATAGTAAGCTTTGTTGAGAGAAGATTGTAAGCCTTTCTGAGAGCAGACAACACGTGGCTGCATAAACAGACCCTAGTGCAATGTCTGATATATAGTGCAGATTCAATGAATATTTTGGGGAAGAATGAGCAAAATCAAGAAAGCTATTAGGAGGCTCTTGAAAATAGGTGTGGTAAATGGCAAAAAACAAACAAACAAACAAACAAACAAAAACCCCAAAAGCATGAACTAAAGTGTCAGTACTGGTAATTTTAGGGTTAGCCTCAACTTTAAAAATAGAATATAAGCTGCTACATACACATGGGCACAGCCAATTATAGTAGTCAAAGTATAGTAGTCAAAGAACTGGTGAAATGGCAAACATTTAAGAAATTTACTCCATTTTTAACTTTATAAGATTTGATTATTATTCCTTTATAGCCTTAGCTTTTTTTTTGTTTTTACAATTAAAGATGTTTTTAAGTTAAAATAATCCACTTATATTAGAGCCTCTTTTTCTATTATCCAGACAGCACATATTATTCTATCCATTAAAAAATGTGACCATTAAAAATGGCTAGAATAGCTTAATAATATAATATCATATTTATTCTATGATTTCCAGTGGAATGAACTGTTATGGTCTCCCTGATTGATTATAATTTTAATAAACTTGGTTGTGTGTGGCTAGGAACAAGTTCATTCCAAGTTCATTTTTTCCCTGATGTAGATAAAATTCCATCAGCTAAGTTCTGCTACTGTGCCCCATCTCCAGACTTCTAGCTAAATGAAGTACTACAGGGCTCTGATTCTTGCTCAAACTCACTACTGCTAAACTGAAATGCTTGAGGTATTCAAAACTGTTATTTTCTGCGTCAATTTGATATATGTGCAGCATTTCTTTTTTAAAAGGACATGTTCTGAATGTTTAGAGTGTGTAGATAACCACTCCCACCCCCCAACACACTCACGTAACAGAAGAAACTTTGGATACTTTTATTGTGTAAACTTACAGAATTTGTGTCAAAGAAGTTCATGTGGCAAAGACATCAGGTGTATCAAATATTTTGGTGGTTTTGTTTAAATTCAGAGTGAGAATTAACCAAGCATCTACAATACGTACACCTGCTCTGTATTCTAACCCTTTTGTTCATGGCATGCACATTAAAACACGTAGCTCCACTTCGCTGCATTGTTGATTGCAGTTGATGATGAGGGTTGTCGTTTCTGTCAACTTTTAGTATTGAAGAGAAGCCTCATGTGTAGTGATGTTAGGGACAGTTCAGCCATGTTACATACCTAGAATTGTCTCTGAAAAAAAAAAGTCATGAACTTTTTTTTTTTAAAGGCAATAGAAAGCAATCAACCAACCAAACAAACAAACAAAAAAAAACAAAAAGTCTGGGCGTGGTGGCTCACACCTGCAATTCCAGCACTTTGGGAGGCCAAGGCAGGCAGATCACACGGTCAGGAGATCGAGACCATCCTGGCTAACACGGTGAAACCCCGTCTCTACTAAAAAATAAAGAAAATTAGCCAGGTGTGGTGGTGGGCATCTATAGTCCCAGCTACTTGGGAGGCTGAGGCAGAAGAATGGCGTGAACCCGGGAGGCAGAGCTTGCAGTGAGCCGAGATCATGCCACTGCTCTCCAGCCTGGATGACAGAGCTAGACTCCATCTCAAAAAAAAAAAAAAAAAAAAAAAGCAGAAAAATGTGTTGATTACAGAGTTAAGGGGGAGAAACTTATAAATCATGGTTATTTACCACCCCTGAGAAGGTAGGTACAAGGTTGACTACTACTTACCTCTTAATCCTATGATTTTCTGGTTCTGTGGCTTAGAAGGTTTAAGCTCTGTCAAGTGGCTCAAGCAGGACAGCCCAAGGTGACTCCAATTCTCTGTGACTTTGTTTTCCCATGTGGGAAGTAAACCCTACCGCTGTGTTGTAAACTGTTTAGATATCCACATAAGAAGGGGTTATTCGGTATTTTGGGGGGGCTTAAGATAAAAGCTATCTCCATTTGAGAAATTAGAAAACCATTTCTACAAATCAACTCTGTTAAACCTTGTCGCCCCAAATCAATTTAGGACAAAAAGCAGCAGCACATTACTTTTTTAAAAGCCCAATTCAATTTTAAAGTTTTGAAAAATTTCAAGCAAACATAAAGGACAGAAAATGTTAAACATCCTTGTACTCACCACTCTTAACAAGCGTCAACATTTTGCCACATTTGCTGAATACTATAACTTACTTTTTTGCTTTTTAAAGTTTTTATTATTGAACACAGACAAGTACTATATGTTAATATGTGCAATGTACAAGAATAATGAAATAGTCATATGTCTACTACCCAACTTAAGAGTTATAGATTTATTTTTTAAAGAAAAAGTATAATTACTTTGAGCTTGCCAGCGTAAGTTTCCTCCTACTCTCTCCCTGCAAAAAAAATAGTTGTGTACAAAATAAAATTCCTGGGGTTGACATTCAGATGACCCCAATGAATCTGATTTTTTTTCTTTTCTTTTTTTCTCTTTGCTTTTTTTTTTTTTTTTTGACAGAGTTTCGCTCTTTTGCCTAGGCAGGAGTGAAGTGATGTAATCTCAGCTTCCTGCAACCTCCACCCCTTGGGTTAAACTGATTCTCCTGCCTCAGCCTCCCGAGTAGCTGGGATTATAGGCGCCCACCACCACACCTGGCTAATTTTTGTATTTTTAGTAGAGATGGGGTTTCACCATCTTGGCCAGGCTGGTCTTGAACTCCTGACCTCATGATCCACCCGCCTTGGCCTCCCAAAGTGCTAGGATTAAAGACGTGAGCCACCACGCCTGGCCTGAATTTTTTTTCTGTTGCTCTTCAAGTTAGATGGTTTAAGTAATGATGTTTGCCGGGAAGAGATTTGAGGACCTAACCGTGAGATAGTCCTGCCCTGTTCAGGTCTCCCGTGTTTCCTCATTAGACCTTCCAGCTTATTACTGGAAAAGCATTCTTTTCTCCATGTTTTAAACACCTATTGAGTATGAATGTTTTAAGTGCTTATTAAATACTGGTTCATAACTCTTTGTAAGAGTTAGGGGAGAATCATCAATATCTGGAACAACACCATTCTTCATGATATTGGTTTTGAGAGCCACGTGGGCAGAGAAATAAATTCTAGAAAAAAAGAAATGGTAATCTGACATGCAGACTTGGATTATAAATATGGTCAAAGGTGTACTTAAAAACAAGATATTTTGCTTCTTGGTTAGCTTTACTGAGAATCCAGGGATCAAGTAAAATCATTGCCATTGGTACTGACGGTTGAGAGTCAGTGCGATGCTAAACCACAGGAACTCCTTACTTCTATGCATGATTAAATCCAGTTGTCAGGTTTGGGCAGAAGAGAGCCCTCCTTTTCCTCAAGTCTATAGGGAGGTGCTGTGGGGGAGTTTTCTCATTTTCCAGAATATACAGAGCAAGGATCATCCATCATAATCAGACAGGGGTATTTCATATCATCCATTTCCAGTGAGAACTGTGGTAAAATTCTGTCCTTTTTCCCATTTTTGGCTGCTGTGATTGAAACCCGTCTTATAAACAGAAAAGGGTAGTTTGAGTTATTTTAAAAAATAAGAATCCTTCAGTCTCTGTTGCCCATTTTCTCCTCTATGAATAATTTCTGCAGACAGGTGACCAGTTCAACCATCTCTCTCGGTTACAAATGCCTGTGGTTGGTCCACTTCCTTCAGCCTTGGAGTAAAATAAAGGCTTCTTTTGCAAGATCACGAAATAATTCAGCAAATACTGTGGGACTATAAGGTATTCCTGTGTTGTCACCTTTTCTTTTGAAGAATATAGAGAATATGCTTTTCTTCCTCTAATTCAAATACATAGATTCCTTATGCTTGTATAATGAAAGAATAAGGGCTCTGATACATACATATCATTGAACAACTATTATCAGTATTAGGCAATTTAGAAAACAAAAAATAAGACTTCAGAATTTATATCAGCTCCTTCAATACTTCATTTAGCTGGATCCATTTAAATATTTCATTTTTTAGCCTATGTTGTAGTAGATTGCTTGATTGGTCCAAGGTAGTCTCTAAATCCAATTAGAGAAAATGAAATTCAGGAAGCACATCACTGTAGATTTTGGTACAGTGACTTGAGTATATAATTGCCATCTCTTTCTATGTTAGCTCAGGGGTGGGTTTTGTGCCATAAACCAACCATCCAACCACCAGTCTACCCACCTACCCACCCAACTAACCATCATTTGGGCTATATCTATCTGCATATCATACATAATATCCTTGCAGGAATTAATCCAGCATCCATATGAGTGTAACTCATACCTAGGCTGATAACAAAATCTGAAAGGTTTTTCACTGAAATATATCAGGTGACTAAAGAATTTCACAACCCAAAAGAGGAGGGTATATCGATCCTAGTGGAATTCTATTTCATGGATTTTGTTCTGCCTTTATTGACACAGTTAGACATTAAAGAGAATAAGTATAATAACAAAATTTATAAGAAATGCTTATGGAATATTTTCTAATTTTAGCTACAATGATGGGTTGTTTATATTCTGTGGTTTGATTTTTATATCAATCTTTATGCAGCTATTATCATTACCCAAACAAGTAGATATTATTGCCCCTTTAATAACAGTGAAGGAAACTGGAATGTAAGAATTGAGGTAACTGGCCCACACACCACAAAGCGAGGAAGTAGGAAGCTGGAATTCACATCCAGGTTTGTCTGTTAGAAGCCCATCCCCTTGACCTTTCTGCCATATTATCTTTCCTTATGCTGTGGCACAAAAAAAGAATTGTGACCATACCATCTTCCCAGAGAGGGATTAGACAAAGTCCAGAGAACGTCTAGATGGTCAGGAACTCTAGTCATGGCGATGCTAGTTACTATAAGAGGATACTTGGCAAACAGCATTGCACCCAGATGGTGCGCAACCCACACGTCTCTATTTACGTAGAGGTCTCAAGTGTTTGTATTAACAGGTTTGGAGGATAATAAAAGGAGTTGTTGTTTGTTCTTTCTTTGTACGTCTGAAATTAATTTTTAGCATAAATTTAAAAGGGGAGTTTGTAAATTCACTAGACACTGAGAGACTGGAGATCCAAGCAAACATTTGTCTGTTGAGTTTAAAAAGATCTGGTGTAAAAGTGATTGTTTTCTATTTTGCCCACTAGGTGGCGCTTTGGTCTCACAGGTTCCTTTTAATGGGCTGGATTTCCCCGCCCCCCCACCTCCCCCCAACCCACCTCCCCCCAACCCCACCCCATACCTAGATGTTGGTCCAGGAAAAAAAAAAAAAAAAAACAATTCAAGACTGATTAAGAGGACTATGTCAGTTGAGTTTGTTCAGTTTGGGTTTTCTCTATCATTATCCATGTTGATAACAAAGATAATTAAACTTATTTGAAAATTTTGGACACTCCTTTTTCAACCTTCTTGCAATAAACTGTATTCACTTATTTTGGAAAAAAGCATCAATAAATGGAACTAGTGAGTTATCTTCTCAGCATGTCTCCACAGGCTACACTTACAACAGTCTTTCCTCCTACAGAGCGGGGCAAGTCATAGGAAGTGACTAAAACCATGTCATTTGGGTGTTCATATTAAGCACACTGGCTATGAGATCGCCCCGGAATGTATACACAGCCCAACATGTCATTTTCTTAACACCTTAACATCAGTGTGGACAAAAACAATAAGGAACAATGTTTTAAACATGTTTACATCAAAGAGGACTGGGGTCATAAGGAAGCAGTTCGATGGGAGAATAAATAACATTATTCCAAATTCAATAAAACTGATCAGTCATTCTACAAATGTACACTGATTTGACTCATTCCATTACCATGCAAGAATTTTATTTGTTGACTGTTGTGAAGACATTCCTGTCATCAAGAAGGAATTTTCTAAAATTATAACCTGAGATAGTAGTAAGTGATAGAAAAATTCACTAAATGGCTTTTCCATGAAATAATATTTATTTATACCTACTTCTGAATACCTACTATGTGCTGAGCAGGTGCAGGGTGATGTGAAACATATATTAAATCCCTTAAGGAGCCTACAGACAAAGATTAAGAGATGGCTGAAAGATAGTGTATCCAAGGTCACGTTGGCACAGATTACTGAAGTGAGTGGGGTGGCCTGGAAGAACATTAAGTGGACATTTAAGATGGAACAGCTAATAAGACAAAGGTAAAATGAGTCTAGAAGAATGACTAGACTGAGAAGAGAGGAAAGGAAAGAGGCAGAAATAGTAGAATGTAGAAAAGCTTTAGGCCCATGGTGATTATGGAGAATTGCAGAAGTCCAGTAATCTAGAGCATAATAATGCATATGTGGAAAGAGTGGGAAATTGGGGCCATAGGTAGAAGCCAGAATCAGGGACTTTGAGTACTAAATTGAGCATGATCTATTTTCTAGAAGGTATAGGAGAGACTTTGAAGAAGGCTGTCACTTGCTCCCCACGTAACCCTCTAAGAAGGCATGCCATTCACTTCCACTTTCCAGAAGACACAGGTGTGTTTCCCCAGAAGACCATCTGGATCCAGAATCTGTGCAGACTGACCATCTATCATGGTCTTTCCTTGTGGGAATTTTAAGTCTTGACTTTCCTTCTGGAGCTTTCCATGCGACCGAGGAAGTGATTATACAATAGCAGATGAGATCCTTGGTATAATTAAGGATTGCTTGTCACTTTCAACATTTCCCCCCATCAAACCGTGGACAGAGAGGCCTTGGAAGGGTTTAGTTCTGCTACCATACTCATTTAACCCTGCTAAGCATATTTTCTTCAGCATTTTGCAAGCAGAAATTTATAGTAATGTTTTTTGACACTAACTCTGAGTCCTGCATTCTCTGCCTGACTTGCTGTATTTGAAGGTGGTAGCGAAACACATGGTGTATGTGTATGTATGAAGTAGGAGGCATGGTGGTACAGATTTAGCTATGGGACTTTTCAGCTTTGCCTGTATGAAATTCATTTACTAAGTATATGTAAGTGAAATTCCAGCAATTCAGAAAGGGTTCTGGAATTGCTTAAAGCCCATCACTGCTTGTGAATTCTTCCCACATTAAAATGTTATCTTACAGAAGGTCAAAATGTCTTTCCTGCATGAATATAATAATGACTTACACCTTAGACTGTAACCATTGTGAATTTATTCTATGTGTATCTATCTCTGGTTTTCTTTGTTGGAGTGGCAAGATTTAAAGCAGGCCAATTTTATGCCTCATTCTATGTGCACCAAAACTACTTACATGATATTGGTTTTCAGTGCCTGCTACAACAAAAACAATATCCCAGTAACAGCCCACTTTACTTTCTGTGGGTAGACAATGCCCTCACAGGGGTTATTAACTTCTCCCAGAGAAGCTTTTGTCTTTGCAATCCTGAATGCATTTCTCTTCATATTAGATTTTACCAGTCACCTTGTTGATTATGAAATGCTAAGTCAGGGTCTTTATTAGACTGACTTTGCTTTCCCTTTAATAATTCAGGTAATTATTATATTTACAGAATTTGCCTATTTTTTGAAATCAACACTTTGTTAATCACCAGACCCATGACAATCTATAAGTAGCCACTTTACGTGGCTTATAGATCTAAAGTGAATGTTGGTTTTCACACATTCATTCATAACTATTATTTTTACTGATATATTAGGCAAAATATAAGATTCATTTATGAGTTTGTTCATCAGCTAGTTATAAAATTCCTGTTGCATGGTAAGTGCTGTCTGTATTGGGCAACAGAGATAAAATGGGAAACAAAACAAAAATCTTCCCTACTGTCATGGGGTTTACAACACCTGGACTTCTCAAAGGACACTGAATCAAAGGTTCTTCTCTAAGACTTTGTATGAAGTCTTAGTCAGAATCAAAGATGGTTGGCACCATCATTCACTAAAGTGGCCTGAGAAGTAAAAAACCTCTGTATGGCAAGGAGCAGTGGGACCTCTCTTTTTTTAAACTTTTATTTTAGGTTCAGGGGTACATGTGCAGGTTTCTTACTTAGGTAAATTGCGTGTCACAGGGATTTGGCATACAGATTATTTTGTTAGCCAGATAATAAACATAGTACCCAATAGCTTTTCAATCCTCACCCTCCTCCCAACCTCCACCCTCAAGAAAGCCATAGTTCCTGTCATTCCCTTCTTTGTATCTCTATGTACTCAATGCTTAGCTCCCATTTTTTAAGTGAGAACATGCAGTATTGGGTTTTCTTTTCTTGTGTTAGTTCACTTAGCATAATAGCCTCTAACTCCATTCATGTTGCTGCAGACATGATCTCATTCTTTTTATGGCTGCGTAGTATTCCATGGCATATATGTATCACATTTTCTTTATCCAGTCTACTATTGATGGGCATTTAGGTTGATTCCATGTCTTTGCTATTGTGAATAGTGCTGCAATGAATGTATGTGTGCATGTGTCTTCATGGTAGAATAATTTATATTTCTTTCAGTATATATCCAATAATGGGATTGCTGGCTGGAATAGTAATTCTGTTTTAAGTTCTTTGAGAAACTGCCACAACCATTGGTGGGGAGCTAGTGCAGTTGTTTGGAGGTAAGAAAATACTCTGGCTTGTTGAGTTTCCAGAGTTCTTGTGAAGGTTCTTTCTCATTTGTGTAGGTGGATGTTCCTTCAATCTTTGAAGTTGCTGTCCCTTGGATGGATTTTTGTTGCTTTCATCTTCTTTGATGCCCTTGGGGGCTTGATTGTGGTATAAGGTAGGTTCAGTCAACTCATTTAAGTTCGCTTTTCCAGGAGTCACTGGGGACCAGGAATGAGTCCTGGTGCATGGTAATCCCATGCAGAGTTCCCAGCCATCCCTCTGTCAGCCCAGCACCTGTGTCTTCCCACATCCACTGTCAATGCCTTCCCTCTGAGATTTGCTCAGAGTGCGCCTGTCTTCGCAATGTCCCCATCTCTTGGTGACAGATGTTCCTCTTGGCTGCATCTAGTCAGCCATCTTGAATCAATCTCTGGACCTCTACTTAATATCCCTGAGAATCTCCTTCTCTGTTGTCACCGGTGCACCAACTGCCAAAGACACCATTTTTGCAGTGTTTGGTGGGGGGTTTGTTTACCTCTACAATTGCGTAACTGAATGACCCTGAGCAAACGGTTTAACCTTTCTATAATTAACAGGATTTCTTCTTACATCCAAGCCCTCCCTGCTGCTCTGACCCAGCTGTGGGTGATAGATCATTTTCAATTCTGCAAACCACGGCTGAGAAAGATGGCAGTGTGTAAGGCTCCTCTGATAGATTAGGAATCATGGAAGGAAGGGACATTGGCTGCTAGCTATGGCTGCTCAGACAGACAACCCATGGGTCTTGGTTCTCTCTAGTGGATCTCTACAGGGCTTCCTTAAAGTCAGAGGCTGGCTTTGCCTTAAGATTCTTGAGCATGAGTAGAACTCCCAACCCAAAGTAAAGAGAGCAAAATCCAGAGAAGGACTTTTCTCCATTCTAAGGCCCGCCTCCCAAGTCCTTAATTTCTGTTTTAAGGTCTGGCTCATCTCAAGAAGAATGACACTTGAAATTATGACACAGAAAGACCCTGTCTTCTACCCAAAGGGGTGTGGCATTGTCTGGTGATGTGGGCTGCTTAAGCACGTTTAAACACAGTAGTCCAACACCAGTAAATGATACCCTACAGCAGGGAGATGTTTCCTTATGGTTCTGTTGAATTCTCTGGCAGAATGTGAATTCTATCCAACCTCAAGATTTGTTGCTTATCTAGTACGATTGGCTGCCTTGTCCACAACATCCTAAAGGCCCTCTGCTCTTTTCTCTTAAAGGGCACTCTAAAGTGCCTTCCCAGTGTGTAGGAACAGGACTGAAAGGGCCGTTTTTCTTGGCTGCTGGTGACTTTCCAAAGCAAGTGTCTTTCCCTTCTCACCTTGTCCATGGCCCCTTGTGCCCTTTATTTGCTCTTTCTGCCTGATGTAGCAGCCACAAGCTGAGAGGGCTTTCTGTGAAGTGGCAGGACCTGACATAAGCAGCTTTGTGCAGTGGGAAGGAAATGTTTATGTTATTATACACCTGGGACCTCTAAGTCCACAAGGTTCACTTTTTATTGTACACCTGGGCCATCCTTTTCTACACTTCTGGCTCAATTTGTTTTTGGTTTGGTTTAGAAGGTTTTCTTCTCCCTAAAATCTCCCTTAAGTCTTAGGCCCTTTTTATGCAGAAATGCCTGATCTCCAGGCTCAAAAAAAGCATCTTGTGCAAGGGAAATCGTTTTAGATTTAGGAAACCTCTTACACAGTAAATTTGAATTTTCAAGGTGACTGAAAACTTAAATTCAACAAATATTTTTATCCACCTAGTTTATACTCAAAGTGTGCTAGATGCAAGGGATAGCACGGTGGTAACGATAGACATGGTCCCAGCTCTAGTAGAGCCTGTGATCTGGTGGAGAAACAGGCACTAAATCAATAGCTACAAGAGTGATGAATGTTACAAAAGAAGAGATTCCAGATGCTACAGGTACATAGAGCAGGAGGATTTAACCTAATCTAGGGGATTTGGGGAGTTTTCATTTAACTCTGCTGTTGTCTAACTGAATGACCCTGAGCAAATGTTTTAACCTTTCTATAATTAATAGCATTTCTTCTTACTCGCCAAGCTCTCCCTGCTCCAGCCAAGGCTCCTGGGTCTATGAACTGTAACGTCAAGAGAGAATACTGTCAACAACAGTAAGCCTGACTGCAGAGAGTAAACACAAGGAGAAAATGGCCTTGGAACCACAGAGTAGACTCCAGAGTATCAGGACCATTTGGAGGAGAGAATGGGGAAAAGGCTCGTGGGCAGACAGCAGTAAACCCTGTGATAGACATTCCATCTGTCCATTAGTATAAACCTGGCACTTAGCCCAGTGATCCTCAAATATTTGTGGAATGAATGAAATGCAAAGCAATGTCAATTTCTGTCCACAGCTGCTTGACTCTTAAGGTTAGTGTTGATCCCTTTGGGGAATATAGGCGAGCAGATGACCCCATACATTGGCTAACTATGAATTGAGTGGATCCAATGACCACTGCCCTCCTTGTGCAGATCGCCCCACGGATCACTGGCTGTGTGTGCCCATCTACCCCTTTCTACAAGAACTTTTCTAGCCCTGCCAAGCAACTGGTTCTGTTCATGATGCTGTGGGGTTACCACAAAATACGTAATAGCTCCATTCACTTAGAAAGACTCATCCTAGATAAGAATTATCCTGCCTCATCTACCCCTCCCTCATAGTTTTTCATCTCATCCATTCCCTCCTCCTCCCCATGCCGTTATCAACTTTATACATTGGACCCCATCCTGGGACTCATACTCTGCTAATCCTGTTCTTGGAGTTAGGGAGGTTATTCAAGTGGCTTGGAGAGGAGATGGGGAAAGTCACTCTAGACAAGAAACATTCAGACTCTACCTAGGACTAAGGTCAATCACAATACTCCAAGCATTACTGGAGCAAATTATAACCGTAGTCGGGTCAGCTTGCACATTCTATGCTATATATATAATGAGGGAGATATAGTTTTCATGGCAGGTTCTCTGTTAACAATGGGCAAAGACTTTGGGGATTGATGTCTGCAGGGAAAGGATAGAAGGAACTGAAACTTCTCTCCACAGAAGCACCTGAAACCCAGTCTGTGGGCCTTTCGTGTCAGAATCTAGTGAAATGATTTTGACACCACACACGGCAAATCTGTGCATGTTTTTCTGTAACAAAGAACTGAGAAAATCAGGAGTCCTTATCAAAGGGAACCTTTGATGACCCTCTGGTGGTCACCTTTTATAGTGAAAATGTTTGGTAAATAGAGAAAAAGGGGCCAGGCATGGTGGCTCATGACTGTAATCCTCGCACTTTGGGAGGCTGAGGCGGGAGGATCACCTGAGGTCAGGAGTTCAAGACCAGCCTGGCTAACATGGTGAAACCCCATCTCTACTAAAAATACAAAAATTAGCTGTGCATGGTGGTAGGCACCTGAAATCCCAGCTACTCGGGAGGCTGAGGCAGAACAGTTGCTTGAACCTGGGAGACGAAGGTTGTAGTGAGCCAAGATCATGCCACGGCACTCCAGCCTGGGTGACAAGAGCAAAACTCTGTCTCAAAAAAAAAAAAAAAAAAAAAAAAAAAAAAAAAAAAGAGAGAGAGCAAGAAGAGTGAAAGTTATAAATGAAAACAATAAAAAAAAATCCAAGAAACTCAAGGAACCTTTGATGGGAAAACTGGGTTTTTCTCTGACCTCACTACTTTCCCTTAACCATCATAGCCCTGCCACTTCTACATGCATTGGAGGAAGTGATTTCTCCACTTTCTGAGATCCTAGAGGACTTAATTTGCATCTCTATGATAAGAATTTTACCATTATGATCTTTTTATTCTCATCTGTTTTATTGCTACAGGATTATGGGCTCCTCTGGACAGTGTTTTATTCATCTTCCTCTCTCACTCTCCTTTACAGAGTAGGCCCCTAATAAATATATGCAGAATGAATAAGCAAAATCAATAATTAATAGATAGCAAATACATTCATGCTGACTTCTATGATTCTTTTTCTCTTTTCTGTCTTAGGTTTTTAAAAGTAGTACAATAAACCTATTGCTAGTGTCTCAATATTTGCCTCCAAGAGAATAAATTGTCCTTTTAAGAAACAAAACTATCTTTATCTAAATCAAGGCTGAAAAAGATATCTAGGTACTTCCAAGTTACTGAGCACCCCTGCCCTGGCTTTCAGGAATTACAGCTGCTGATTAAACATCTGTTTCCCTGCCTTTTCTCTACTTATTATCCTTCTCTACTTATTCATCCTTCAAGACTACTTGAATTTTTATCTTCTTACTCAGTAAAGGCTTTCTCTGTCTACCAAAGCTGGAAACGTTTTTTTCTTTTCTGATATCTAGCATGACTCATTACTATTCCCATTCATTCAGTACAGATGATGTAGGGACAAGCACTTTGGAGACAGTACCTTGGTTCAAGTCCTACTGTGCTACTCAGTGATGGTCAGTGACCCTTTGATCTTGAGTTTCCTCGTGATGTTGATAAACTCCTGTGTTGGGATGACTGGTCTAGAGGGTGAGATGAGGATATGCATAGAAGATGCCTATTCCAACACCTGGTGCTTATTGAGGGCTCCATTAAAGGCAACTGCTCTTATTATTTGCATATATCTTATGCCATGCTCTAGATTGTAAATTCAAGTATTATGTATCTTTCCAAATAACAGCATCTGACTTCTTGCTTTCAGTGAGAGAGATAGTCAATAAATAAACATATTATATCATGAAAGATAGTGATAAGGGCTATGAAGACAAATAAAGCAGGGTAAGGAGAGAAAGAAAAGGGCCAGGGATAATGTAATTGAGGAAGACTTCTGGGAGAAAGGTGCACTTGAATAGAGATTGAATGAAGTGAGGAAAAGAATTATGTCCGTGCTCGGGTGGAAGCAATGCACTTGATAGGTACAGGAAAGGAAACTCCAAAAGGTGTAGAAGAATTACAGCATCCTAGTGACACAGAGGCCCATGGAGTGGAGTTTTGCAAGGAGGAAAGTAATCCTCAGTTTCAAATGCAGTTGAGAGGGCTGGGAGGGCAACTGCAGAGAACACTTCCTGGATTGAGTAAGTAAGAGAGCAAGACCAATGACAGTGGATTGGTGAGAACAGCAGACTTGGGGATGCCCTGAGTAATCCAATGAGGGAAACCAAGACAGGACTGTAACCAGAGAGAGAAATGGATTGAAAGGGGAGTTAGACTTTCATCTGAAAGACTTGGTTATGTGTCTGGTAGAGAAAAAAAGAAAAGTTAAAAATTTAGGAGAGAGATAATAACTGACAGCATGGTCTTGAAGAAGGCAGGAACTGATGGTTTGGTCTTAAGAAAAGAAGTGATACCACCACATGCAGGGTAAAGAGGGAAATACTGGATATGGATAAGGCTAGGGATGGCTTCAAGGTTGCTTTCTTTTCCTTTCCCTTCCCTTCCCTTCCCTTCCCTTCCCTTCCCTTCCCTTCCCTTCCCTTCCCTTCCCTTCCCTTCCCTCCCCTCCCCTCCCCTCCCCTCCCCTCCCCTCCCCTCCCCTCCCCTCCCCTCCCCTCCCCTCCCCTCCCCTCCCCTTCCCTTCCCTTCTAGATGGATTTCCGCTCTTGTTGCCTAGGCTGGAGTGCAATGGCTCGATCTTGTCTCACCGCAACCTCCGCTTCCCAGGTTCAAGCGATTCTCCTGCCTCAGCCTCCCAAGTAGCTGGGATTACAGGCATGTGCCACCACGCCTGGCTATTTTTTTTTTTTTAATAGAGATGGGGTTTCTCCTTGTTGGTCAGGCTGGTCTTGAATTCTCAACCTCAGGTGATCCACCTGCCTCTGCCTCCCAAAGTGCTGGGATTACAGGTGTGAGCCACCACGCCTGGCCGACTTCAAGGTTTCTAATTAAATATATGGCAGAGTTTGCAGCTGAGACTGCGGGTCAGGGTGGTGAGCTTGATTAGAGGGGTGGAAGTTTAAGCTAGAATGAATAAGAAAAGAAACCCATCAAGGAACATTTAAAAAACAAAGTTTGTTCTCTTTGATCTTGGGGAAAGTAAGTCATGTACTCCATTTAGTACAAATAACAACCCCTAACCACATTGTCCATATTGCAGGGTTTCCTAAGTTCACACCAATGAACCAATCTCTGTTTATGAAATGCGCTCTGCCTGTGCTTGCATTTTACACACACACACACACACACACACACACACACACCACTCTACATCTTTGCCAATTCATAACCAATCACCTCAATTATGGAGGGTGATAGTCTTTTCTTTCTTTAATTAATGAGTTTCCAGTTTAGATGTGTGATCTTTACACAGTACTATTTAATACTGTGCAGTTTAGATTCAGGTAATACCACAGTGGCAGTTATTTCTAGCAGCAGGTGTGGTTGGTTACTTTTATAGACATATGCTCACTGTGATCCAGGGACTATGTTGGACACTTGATACCTATGTTATCATATTGAAAATCCTTACAACCATACTGTAAGCTGACTGATGGGGAAACTGAAATGTATTGATATTAAGGAATTTGCTCAGGGTCGCCTGGCTTGTTAAGGTAAACTTTGAGGTTGCAGGTGCGGGTCTGGGACCTTAAACATCATCATGTCACCTAGCTACAGCAAGAGCCAGCAGAACAATACTCTTCAGCCTGGTTTTGATATGGAAGATGCTCTTCAGCTTCATGCTGGCTTGAATTTCCTTTGCAGTGAAGGGAGAGGAGAAAGTGCATTTTAATAAGCTTCAATTAAATTAATTTCATTTTACTTCTTTTGATGTATGGTCTCTTCAAAAAATCCAATTCTACTGATGTTTATTAAGTGCCTCTACTTACTTGGAGAGTGCCAGGCACTTCAGGGGATCTATGGATGAGTGTGATTCAGCCCTGCTTCAAGAGCTCACAATCTAGTGGAGAGGATGGGAGTGTGCAATTTGCTCTAATACTAGATTGAATGTAATAAGTACCATCAGAAGTGGCCCAAACTGTGGTTTTTTAATTCTGAAATGCAAGGTTATGTGACTAATTAGAAAATTGGCTTGGCAGTGCCTAAACACCGGAAGCATCACACAATAGAACTCTTATAAAGGGTCTTTATTTCAAACATGATTATGCATTTGTTCAAATCTATGGCATACAATGAGTGAAGAATGTATTGATGGTGGTGACATCATCTGCCAGGCTGTGAAGGTCAACAGTGCCAGCCCAAGTTGTGGCATAGTGTTGGGTGATTTAAAACTCAGGGGCAAGACAGTAAACTCACAACAATCCCAGTGGTGGTGCATGACCTGCAGCTGTTCTTGGTTCTTTGTGTGTTTTGGCAAGCAACAGCTGTTCAAGACATTGAACTGCAATTGCACAAAAATATATGTTATGTGAAGTTGTTGGTTTTTCTTCTTTTATTACTATAGGGTGCTTTTTTGAAGTTAACTTCGGAAATATTGTGAACTCAGAATAGGTCAAGTCCTATATATTCCAGCTAAACAATTGTTTAATACATTTTTAAGGAGATTTAAAAGTAGGGCAGTAGATACTGCCATAAAATTCTTTTCCAGGTTTACTGCAAGCTTTTGGAAGAAAGAAATAGGAGCTAGAGAACATGAGCTAGTACAATGTACCATGTGCAAATAGGAATTTAATAAATGCTTCCCAATTCTTTTTTTTAAATTGGTCTCCTAGGTGTGTTAGGTTCTGTAATAGTCACTTCCAAAATACACAGCTGAAAAAAGCATTGCTTTTGTCTTCTAAGGTTTTATATCTAAATAGAAAGGCTGGGGAAATGGTCCACTGACAGGTCAAAAGCAAGATTTCTAGTGTCATATTATTGGGAACACACACGAAGCCAGAAAATCCATCATTTCATAACTTTTGTAGCACTTCACACTATTCTACCACCACATAGATGTTTGCTTCCATATTTGTCTGAACATCCTTGCATTTTCTTTGCCACACTCCCCTGCTGCAATCAGTCCATGCCTCCCTGATGGATTGGTTGCAGCAGCATTTGGTGTTGCTTGGATGAGGTGATGGATGCTTCTCTCTCTTCTTCAGCTACTTGGAGCCAAAATACAAAAGTGCTGGTTAAAAGGTGATTAATCTTCCCTAATGGTTTTGTGCATTGCAAACAGGACTGCAGCCACCATGTCTTCATTAGCCTTAATCAGGGCCCACATTACCTCAGATCAGGTAATCGGTTATTTATTATAGAACAGCAGGCAAAGGCCTTTTGAGCAAGTGTCAACTGTATAAAGTCTATTTGGAAAGGAAAAATAGTGGGGTTCCAGTTGCCAAGCATCCATAGGGAAGGAATTAAAGCTGGAGTGTATTTCTGGGCACCTCTCCTGCTAAGCACTTTGGTTGATGGAGGGCAGCGGGTGGCTTTGAGGTCATCAGGATGGACACTCAGTAACAGCCCTTTGCCTTTTTTTTTTTTTTTTAACTTCTTTTTTGCTTCCAGGGTGACATTATCTGGGTCTAGGGACTGAAACAGTTTGGGAAATGTTGTCTTCTGAAAATGGAAGATGGATTTTTAGTATCTTTGGGGGTTTGGTGTACTTCTTAAAATATGAGTTTAGAACTTGCTGTATGCCCAGTAATATTCAGGGTACTGGGGATACAGAGATGAGCACAACAGACCAAGCTCCAAGCTTTTGAAGCTTACATTGAATGGAAAAGACAGGTAATAAGCAAGTAAACACATGCAATAGAATAAAATATTAGCACTTTCTGAAAAAAAGCAAAGCAGGTAAGGAAAGAAAGAGTGGGGCAGGGACTGATCAGGGAAGTCTTCCCTGAGGAAAAAACATTTGTGTTGGGATTAAGTGAAGGGAGGTGTATTAGTCCATTCTCACACTGCTATAAAGAAATACCTGGGACTGGGTACTTTAAAAAGAAAAGAGGTTTAATTGACTCACAGTTCTGCATTGCTGGGAAAGCCTCAGGAAACTTACAATCATGGTGGAAGGTGAAGGGGAAGAAAGGCATCTTCTTCACAAGGCGACAGGAAGGAGAAGTGCCGAGCAAAGGGGAAAGGCCCCTTAGAAAACCATCAGATCTCAAGAGAACTCACTGTCACAAGAACAGCATGGGGTAACTGGCCCCATGATTCAGTTACCTCCCATCAGGTTCCTCCCACAACACATGGGGATTAGGGAACTACAATTCAAAATGAGATTTGGATGGGGATGCAGCCAAACCATTATCAGGAGGGGTGCCCAGCATTGTAAGAAGGGCCTTCTGTGCAGAGGGAACAGCCAGTGCAGAATTCATTCTTCAAGTGGCTATGTTCCTTTTATTTATTTTATATTTTGCACTTCCTAAGAATCATTCCATGGAATCAATCCATTCCATCCCTTCCATAAAGTACAAGCAAAGTTAAACGAGCTGAAGTAGGTGAATCACTAGAACGGTGTCTGGCATATCATTCATGTTCAAAAAAAATGTGAGCTGCTTCCTTTCAATGTGCAACTCAAGAAAATGACTTGCCATCCATTCTTACATACAGAGGGTGGCTACCATTTGCCACTGAAACACCATATTCTATAACTTCAGGCCATCAATGGGAAGCATCTTCCTTTTGCTTCCCTCTCTCCTTTCTCTCTTTTTTTCTTCTCACCTGTGTGCTGAAACACAAGTGCCTCAAATTCAGGTTTTTAAATAAATAAAATTCAATAAAATCAAATTCAGGTTTTTAAATAAATAAAATAAATGTAATCTGCAGATCACAGAGTGAACAGCTGATGACTCTGTGATAACATCATATCACATCCACATATTCCATACCATGATCCTTAAAGAATACATGCACACACAGAACAGTGGGAACAGCTGAATTAGGTATTAAAGTGGAGTATAAATAGAAATGGGTAAGTTTTGTGGGTAGCTGAGAATTTAGAGCATTTAGGAGTTCAGAACATCATTTTAGTGCAGGAATGTTGGTCTTTCTTGCTAGGATCTGTAGAGACACATGATAATGATGGCCTTTCAGGGCTTGGTAAAACATTGTAATCTGTATAATATTGTGATTATCTCCAAAGCTATCCTTAAAATGTTTGGGGCCCTAACATCAGTGTTCAAAATCCCAAAATATTATTCTCATCAGCAAAATATTGCTCCTACACACAAGGTACCTCTTCTCCTTTTTTCACTTGCTAATAATAATAGCAAGTATTAATATAAGGTATTTGTTGAGCAATTATTAAATATGTCATCTCTAACACAACAGTCCAAAAAGACAGGCCTAAGTTCTTCTACTTTATAGATATTGAGACTCATAGAGGCATAAAGTCCTACAGTATAAATGAGAAGCTGGGATGGCCCTGGATGTGACTGCCTGTAAAGCCAGTTCTTCACTCATACTATTTGTTATTTTTCAAAACATTCAACCATTCTCTTCCCTTTGAGAGTTTATCATTTTTCTCCCTAAGTCCTGGAGAATCTTTCTTGGCAATGTCCTGATATTCTATTCATTATTTTCCTACCCTAGTTCTTTCTTTTCATAGTCTTTATCCTTTCAAATCTAGACTGCTGTTCTTTTCTGTTGGTCCTCCAGACTCCAAATACCTTCCAGTATCAGCTAGTCTTATGCACTGTGATTGGATAGTTAAATACTACTTTGACACAAGGCTGCCATCTTACTGTTGGAACTCTCCACTGTTCTTATAGTAATCATCAGGCTCTGAACACTGGCTTCCCAGCCCTGTATAATCTCCCCCACTTTATTTATCCAAACTTATTTCAGCAGCATGGCTGAAGTCACTATCCATGGAACTCACTGCGTGTGTTCCCCCGATACCTTGTCTCAAACTGTATGCCCTACTAAAAGGGCCTCCACCTTTTCTTTACATTCTAAAAGGTCCAGATCAATTTTTCCCTCTACCGTGAAATTTATTTTCCCTTCTCCTGGCATATTGATCTTTCCCTGTGAACACTTTCTGTAAACTTGAAAGGTCTATAAAATGGTCCTTTTTATATAGTCTTTCAATAGAAACATTTTATCTTACAAAAGATGCCCCTTACTGAAAATGGATTATTTTCTTTGGCGATGGGTGACTGTTCAGCTGAAACTAACAGAAAACACAACAAATGTTGACTTAACCAGTTAGAGGTTGAAGACATTAAGTAAGAAAAAGTTGAGAAGTATGCTCGCCAGGGTGAGGCAGCTGTTTAACGATGCCATTTGGGAGCCACTCTCTTCTATCTTTCTGTTTCATCATCCTTGATGTATATGCTTTCAGCCTCCAGTTTGTTGCCTCTTAGTCACAGTATAGTTGCTGCACCTCCAGGCAAGAGGAATGGAACAGCAGAAGTCCAGGTATGTCTCATCGGTCAGCATTGGTCAGAATTACATAACATGTTACCCCTAGCTGCAAGGGAAGCTAGGAAATTGAGTTTTGAGCTTTTAAGCTTGTATAGAGAAAGTAGGACTGGAAAAATGTGCTCAAGAACTGATCTTAAGTAAATAAGCCTATAGTATAAGGCGCAGCAAAGCTTAATGAATAGATTTTTATATTCATATAATGCTCCATTCTTTTATGATGGGAAAGATATTAGAGTGAAGAAAATGGAATACTGGAGTCAGATTCAATTGTTACTGAATATTGGCACTGTCCTCTTGTAGTCTTGAGTAAGTGACTGTTCTTTCTGAGACAGATTTCCTCATCTAAACATTTGGCTTAATAATAACACTGCCTCTTAGAGTTACTGTGATGATTAAAAGAGGCGATGCCTGCAGCCTATGATGTGGCACATGTCAATTCTTTTTCCCTCTTCCATTTGAGGCCCTGGTAGGTGTGGAGAAAATCCTAAAAACAATAAAACAAACCAACAAACAAACCAGAAAAATTGAATCAATGAAGACAATATCTGCCACCAGCTAGTCCCATAAACTCATTTCAATAAGGAAAAAATATCACCCCAGTAACGGAACTGCAGGAGTGTTTTAGATTTATTTATCTTGTAATTGAGTGGAAAGGAAATCTCTGAATGTTTGTGAAGGTGTTGACCCATGGATACTAAGGTATGTGAAAATAACTCACACATCTCAGGTGTTTAATGAGGATCAATAACAATTTGTGGGCCCATCAGCTCTACAGTCCTATCACCTCAAATCACACACAGGAACCCTGCTTCTGAAAAGTGGCACTTGGGAGAGAGAATGGCAGAGTGAAATCCAATTAGCAAGATCTGCAAAAGAGGCACATGTGCCAGAATCATGCGTGATCCCAGAAAAAAAAGTATATATATATATAACTATTATAATTTTATATATATATATATATATATATATATATATATATATATATATATATATATATATCATAGCACATTCTTAGCCTACCCACCTCCCACTACCCCAAAAAGCAGGACAACATTTTCCATATATTCTATTGAAGTTTTTTTTTTTTTTAAAACTTGTTGGCACAGAAGCCTATATCTGTAGATATTTTAAAAACTTTACTTATATCTATTTGAAATGTGTTAAAAAGCCATATATTCTTTTTTTTTCTTTTGATAAAAGGAAAAGCAACACCCTACCAGATGTTGGGAGGAATAGTAAGCAAGTGATTCAATCAGATTTCTCCTATGGGGACATAGACTCTCTCGGTCAATGTCACAGAATGAAATAGTCTCAGATTCACCCAGCAGTGAGTTATTCCATCTGGTTGTGGCAATTAGGAGCTGAAGATGACGGGAAGTTAAATGACTATCTTTATGAAACAAAGCAAAATAGAAAAGGGAACAGCTGGGGGACTGGATGGCTTGGGGATGCAGAATTGGATCTAGAATAAAGAATCTGTTACTTCGAGTTGCTAGTTATAATGCCAGTGCAGGTTAATACAAATTGAAGGTTGCTGCTGTGTGCTAGCAGTTAGCTGTCGCTTGCCTGAAATATGACCATAACATTTACAGTACTGTCTGGATTGAGGTCTCTAGAATGTAATGTCCTTTTTACTTAAGGGCCAAGCCACCAGATTAACTACATAGACAGGGAGTCATTGAACTTCAGCTCTGGAAAGGATGTTGTTACCAAGTTCAGTTTGTGAATTGCCAGGAATGTTATGTGTCTTTTCTTTGCATGTGTTATAGTCTAAAAAGATGCATAGCTTTTATCAAATCCAAAGGAAAGAATGTGAATCCACCAGTCCTTTTCTACCCTCTTCCCCTCTTCCCCCACAAAATGTGAAGAACTTGCTTTAGACCTTGTCTTTGGAGTTGGGTAGTCTAGAACATAAGCTTTTGGCTTACTGCTTACTAGCTGTGTGGCCTTGGGCAAGTTATTTAATCTCTACTAGATTTATTTTTTCTAATTTATACAATGGGGATGATAATATTGTTTATCCTATTCCATAATGTTTTATGAGGAAAATTTGAAATAATATATGTAAATCGTTTTACTGTAACATGTACGAAGGATCCAATAAATATTGGCTCTTATTATTATGTTGAGGTATGCTGAAAGTTAGTGGCAGAAACAGGACCAGAACATTGATACCCAACTCACTACTCTGGCCTTTGGAAAACATGGTGAGCCTATCTCTCTTCTTATTTGTCACACCCTTCATGTTTTGGCAGGACTCAAGAGCTAACATAAGGTACTGAAATCAAATAATTACTTCTACCATTACAGCGCTAAGTGGTCTACTTCTGCATTTTGAGCTCTTTTTCAGAATTCTTTAAACATCTTATCTGCACTGCAGTCTGGAAAGGGAAATCACAGAGAGAAGGGAAATCATACTTTGGCTTTCCAACACCCTCTACCCAAGTTGCCCAAGACAAAACTGTGAGCAAGGTTAAACGTCTGACTCATTAGTAAGAGGAAGTCTTTTTAGGCAGTTCCTCTGTTGAATAGATAAAGTGGATCAAACAAAAGAGATGACAGATTAGAAACTGTCTGGTGGCTAATGTACTGTTTACTGCAGTATAAATGACTGGTGTTTGGGAAATGACAGATGAGAGAGAATACAAATGTGGACGTAAATAATTTCCAGGTTTCTACAGTGGAGGAGAGTCATGGTTGGTTAGGATGTTGACAGGGAAGGGGGAAGTCATTGGTTGGAGTTTCAGGGAAATGAGAAGAGCATGGAGAGGACTTTTGAATTAATCCATTGATCCACGAGTTACCATAGCCTCCGTGCTGCATACAGAAGGTACCATGAAGGGGTATAGTTCTTTTGCTCTTTTCTCACTGCCTGATCCATTCTAAATGTAACTCTTGTTCCAGACCAAGTGCAGAAATCTTTACAGAGAGAAAGCATTGGGATGGGGATGAGGCTATGCTCAGCCAGTCTGGGAGATCTCTAGGGGAAAATGTCATAGGAAAAAATAGTGATAAATATGCTTAAAAGAAGGCAAGGAAGAAAGCAAGGAAGGAAGAAATAAAGAAAAAGAGAGAGAGGAAGAAAGAGAGAATGAAAAGAAGGGGGTTGGGAGGGAGGAAATAAAAGAAAAAAGAATGGAAAGGAAGAAAGGAAAGAGAGAGGAAATATGGTATATCAGTTATTCTGCATGATATGTTTGAGTTGAGTTTGTGGTGGTTACTTGCCCCAGGGTATCAAAAGAAGTCTCCAATTAATTTGTAGCCAGTGTAACCATATAGCATCTATTTGCTTAGTTTTCAATAATAATAATACTGGTTCTGATTAAATAAAGCATATTGTCAAACTTATTATTTGCAAACATATTACTGTTGTAACTGGTAATTGCTCAGATCTCTTTCGGTTCCTGCCCCGACACCCAAAAGTCAAGAGGGTGGAAGGTGACCCTTTCTAAGACTTTGACATGGAAATTCTTTATTCTGTTTCAGGAATGGCAAATTCCAGTTTACAGATGGATGGAAAAGATTTCTTCCTTGTGATAATAGAATGCAGGACAGTATTTCTCAATAGCCATGCCAATGACATTTTTTGACTGGTTAATTCTTTGAGGGGATTGTACTATGCATTATAGGATATTTAACAGCATCCCTAGCCTCTACACAGTAGCTGCCAGTAGTAGCCTCCCCAACACTAATTGTCACAATAAAAATATCTCCAGATGTTGCCAAATACCCCTTGTAGAGGCCCAAAAATGCCCCTTGGAGAGGGCTATAATTGACATTTTTGACCGGATAATTCTTTGGGGCAATTGTATGGTGCATTATGGTTTGTTTGTTTGTTTGTTTATTTATTTATTTATAAAACAGGGACTCATTTTTTTCACCCAGGCCTGAGTGCATTGGCATGATCTCAGTTCACTGCAACCTCTGCCTCTGAGGCTTAATTGATCCTACTGTCTTAGCCCCCCCAAGTAGCTGGGACTACAGGCATGACCACTGTGCCCGTCTAATTTTTTTTCTTCTTTTTTTTTTTCTTTCTTTCTTTCTTTTTTTTTTTTTGTAGAAACAGGGTTTCACCATGTTGCTCAAGCTGGTCTTGAACTCCTGAGCTCAAGCGACCCACCTGCCTCAGCCTCCCAAAGAATAGAATTGCAGGTGTGAGCCACCACGCCTGGCCCATTATAGAACATTTAGCAGCATTCTTAGCCTCTACATAGTAGATGCCAGTAGTAGCCCCCCCAACATAATTGTCACAATAAAAAAATCTCTAAACATTGCCAAATGTCTTTTGGAGAGGGCCACAATTGTTCCCAGTTGAGAATCACTTCTTCAGGATAGACTGTTGTTAAACCATTGATTCAGATTCCCAGGGAAAGACTGGACACTCAGCAGCCGAGCATCCTGCTGACCCCCAGAACCCTGCCTTGACACCTGCTCACAAACCCCTCCTCTCCACCCTCAAGGGCAAGGTGTAATTTAGCTGCAGCCTTTTCCCAAATGCCTGTAGCTTCTACAATTCAATCTTTTTTATTTGTAAGTATCTTTGCAGTTTTCTACTTTCAAAAGACTCTTAGTGATTTCTAATACCTCAAATTGTACAGGTACATGGCTTTTTGTCTCTTTCTCTGTGTCTTTTTTTTTTTTTTTTTTTTTTTAGCTTTTCATTGTAGAGGTTCCTACTTTTTATTTTTTCTTTCCATGTTTATTGCTTTTGTGTCTCTGTCTTCCTGATTTCATTTTGGTGTGGAAACTGTCTTTCTCTGCTATTATCAATATCTTACTACCTAGATCTCAATTTCATTTTATGGTTTAGCCTTTTGGTGTTTATCTCCCCAGTCGCTATCATCCTTTTAATGACTATTTGTGTTTCTGGGTCTTTTTTCGTGTGGCAGCTTGTCTTTTGGACTGCCTCTCTCTGTTTGTATCTTTCCAGCTATTTTTTATAGTCTCCTCCTACTTTTGGAGAATAGCGATATGTTGTTATGACATTTCTATTTGTGACTGCCTTTTTCCTCTATTGACTTCCCTTCCCCTTTCTGCCTTTCTTTTGAAAATGGCCCATCTGGATTAAGTTTCTATCAAGATCTCTTTCTATAAGCAGGATTTTTCTCAGGTATGTAATGGAAACCTTTTACTTCTGTTGAATGGTAATCCTAAGGGGAGGTCAGGGAATGGACTTTTCAGTTAACTGCTCAGAGGCAATTGTTTGTTTTACTTTATATAATCGAACTTTTATAAAACTTAGAATATTAAATCCAGCAAGGTTAAATATTTAGCCTTTTGTTAACTTTGTAAAATAAAAATAGAACTTAAATGATTCATTATAAAGCAATTATCTTAGAAAATGAATAGGTAACACATTATTAGAATCAATTTGTTCTCAAAGCTATGAGAAATAAAATCAATAATTTTTAGAGATAGATAAAGTGTTTTAGGTAATGTTTGGGAATAAGAAACTATAAGAGTAGGATTTGGCTATTTGCAAAGTACCTGACTTTTCCCTTGGTTCCTAAAGAATTTCGAAACAAAATGAGGGCACTATAAGGTTCACAAGGACTGAAAACTATTTGATCTTCTCATTTTTGGAAGAAAGTGAGAATCGTAATATACTTGCGAAACAGATTGGATTCCATCTGGTGTAGCCAAATTAATCCTTCTTTAATGATTGTTTATATTGTGTATCCAAAATCAAACTCAGTATCAAGAGTTAATTACAATTTATAATCATTTTGGCTCAACAAAACAAGAGGGAATTGTAAACAGTAAAGTTTATTTTATAGTATAAACATGTTAAAAACATGGATCTTCATTGGACCATATGTAAATTAATCAAATTATCTCCAGTTTTTGTTGTTGTTGTCTGTTTGTTTAAACGTGGTGCAGGAAAAAGCAATGGCTGCTGAGACTGCAGAGGTTTGTGAAGAAGTCTGTTAGGTTTTCTGAACATTCCTCCCCTCCGACCAAAAAAATAACCCAACCGGACTAAGACAAAAAACTGAGAAAACCAGGATGGAAATTTGACAGAGGTGTAGGAACTAAACAAGGAAAGGGAATGTTTCTCTTCTCTCTAGTGCAGGATAAATTTCATCAGTTCCCTGTCTGAACCTCATTAACCTTAATAATACACTATCAAAAAGTCAACTCTATGCAATTAGTATTTAAAGGTACTTGATATTTTAGGTGGGAAATTTATTTTCTCTGAAAAATCACACATGCCTCCAACAACTTGAAGCTTGCTAAAATTTATAGCAATAACATTGAATTCAATTACATTCAATCAAATTCCAGGCATCAAGTCGTTATTAAACATTTACCTCTATGGTCATTGTGCTATGGTTGGGAATAAGAATAATACTAAGGCAAGATCTTCTCCTTTACAAAGCTCTCAGCTGATTAGGAATCTCATAAATTGTCAAATGTCACTGTTTCAGCTAACAATGTTTCTACCATAAACAGAACTGACTCAAAGGGGCAAAAAGTAAATAAAGTACATGACATGGGAGCATACTCTCACCTGAGCCTTAGAGAGGAAACTGACATCTGTCAATTCACTTGTTCTGTTAATTCCACTTTGATATTTCTTAAATATATCCACTCACTAGGGCTAAGCCACACCATAACTGACTTCTAGGCATTCATCTTTCTTCCACTTAAATTCATTCTCCACCTTGCAGCTATTTAGTTAGTTCTTCTAGCAATACATTGGTTAAAACTAGTCAATGACTTTTCATTTCTTTCAGGATAAAATGCAGTATAGTATGCAGTGGTAGGAAATTAAGCACTAGAATTTGTGTTTAAATCCTAATTTCCTCTCTTATCTATCTCTTTGCCCTGGAGCAAGTAATTTTACTGCTCTATGGTTCAGTTATTTTATCTGTGAAACAGGGATAATAACATCACTTACTTCATAGGGTTACTAGTAGGAAAAATTAGTTAATACCAGTTAAGATGATTTGTAGAGAAATGGCACCTTCAATTAATGTTAACTGTTACTATTGTTGCCACCTCTAGACACTCATCCCTTCGCACTGCCCTTTTCTCATTTTTCCCTGGATTGTTTTGAGTTTCTTAGAACGTGTACATGCTGTTCCCTTTGTCCCCATCACTAGACTGACTCCTACTTGACTTTCAGGACTTCTGACTTTTTCTTCCTCCAGGAATCATCTTCTACCACTCCTCTGCATGGCAGGTTAGATGCCCCTCTTAAATGCAGGGTTAACCTCTATCGTACATTTCACACCTTGTATTTACTTGTTTGCTTCCCTATTCTTCCTTCTACAATGCATACACTTTGAGGGCAGAAACTCAGCTCTGTTTGTCTTTGCAGCTCTGTCACCTGGCACAGTACCTGGTTCATTCTCTGCAGAATGAGGAAACCTCAAGCATCCACTGAAGGGAACAGTGTAGCATAGCTCATATTACCAAATATCTGCATGTTAGAGGCTTATGTGTTTATGAGTAGGCAGGTGTCTTCATGGAACTCTGGTATCTTCCAGATGTTCATAGGTATATCTGGAACGATGAGTATCTGGCCAAGTAATATATGGAATCAGGAATATGTCTCTCCTAAAGAGTTATATTTTGATCAACCTCACTCTTACTGCAGTGGGCAAGCAGGTACAACCTAGAGTTTTCCAAACCGTTCAGATTATGAAACCTGTCGTTAGTAATATATTGGAAAACTCAATTATAGTGCCCTAAAGAGCTATAATAAGAAACACAGTTTGGAAAATACAAGTCTGAGTTAGTAACCAAGATGTCTTTTTTTCCTCTTGATTCTAGGATTATTTCAGGAGGTTGTGAGAGACACAATGAGGCCTTCAGCTCTGGGTAGACTAGTTTCAGCCGGAGCTCTTAATGGGCATCAACCATCACAAGTTGAAGCCATTCAGGGATGAGAATTCTTTTAGCTATTAGAACCTGTCTCCATATAAATATTTCTACCTTTCTCCTCCAGTGGTATTCTCTGAGCAGAGGAGATGGGTTGCATAGTGGCCTTAAAAGGCACAGCCCCAAATTTCACTGGTTATGTGGACATAATATGACTTTAGGATTTCTTATCACCCACTTCAAAAACCCCAGGGTCACTTAATTAAAATGACTGATTCCTGGAGCCTCAACATGTGCCTTCTAAATCAGACAGTCTATGAATGTGAGACTAAAGCCAAAGTTTGTACTGAGTTCTCCTGTGACTCTTATGCTCCCTCATGTTTAAGATTCTACCCTGAGTAGAGGCCACTTCAAAAATAGAAACTTTTTAATAGTTCTCTGTTTACAAGGTCAATTCTGTTAAGCCATAAACCATCCCATTTGGAATTAGTACTATAATTATGGTTCTTATTTCTTACACACACACACACACACACACACACACAGGTTTTTTGGAAAAAAAACATGTTAAGAGAAGACATTTAAAAGTTTAAAGAACTTAGATGTTTTATTTTGTGAGAAGAACAATTTTGGGGCAAGTCGCTTAACTGTCTGAGCCCCGTTGTACCATCTGGGAAATAGGAAAAGTGGCATCTGCCCTTGCTCCGCACTTGGGATGGGAGAGTCAAATGAGAAAGACTGAAAGCAGGTGTAAAATCTAAAGTACTAGGAAAAACAAGGTGTTATGATGTCTTGATAAACATTTGGTAAGATAGGAGTCTTGTTACACATAATAACATTTTTCTGAGTAATCTAGTTTGGTTTATTTTTCTGTGGGGTTTAAGAGTACATTTTGATAACTGAGAGTTTAAAACAATAATTTCAGATGTATTAAAAATTGTACGTGATTATTAGAAGTGACGAAAACTTCTGGGATTATATAAAATTGAGTTTTATACAACATTCTCTTTGACTCTAACAAGAGTTAAATGTTAGGAATCATTGATGTAAACTATTCTTAAATGATTCCACATTCCAAGCAAATGCTCTGGAGAACAAATAGGAGAATCATCTGTGAGATTAACTTTTTACTGATGCCATGTGGAGTAAGATTATCGAAGCATCTTACATTTAAGAATTTTACCTCAGACTTAAATAGCACGTTAAATAAAACAGGCAGAACTAACAAATCCTGATATCAACTTTAATTTCAACTTTAGCTCTTTTACACTTTTATAAGGCCCTTTCCTCTTATAAATGTAAACCTATTTTTTAAATGGAAGCTAATTTGTTAAGTCCATTCTATCAGAGGTAAATTGAAAAATGCCAGCAGGCAAGATAAATTTGACAGAAAATAGGTAAAATCAAAGTTTTATTCATGTACAGTGGTTAAGAATGAAGATATTAAGATAAATTATTTTAAGTGAGGACTGTCCTTTTAATAGGCCTCACTCTATAGCCTTGTCTCATTTTTCATTTTCACAAGGTTCTTGATGTATTCTTTTCATTATATAAAACGTGCCATATTTGGTCTTTTCATGAAATGTATCTGATATTCTCCTTTGACAGCCATTCACGTGAAAAGAAAAGGTCCTATTTCTGTCCATCACCTACATGCACATATTCATAGAAATCATAGATTTTTGGTAAAATATGCTATATACTTATACAGCATCTTAATCTCAGAAACCCAAAGGGTTTAGATCCATAACTGTACCATATTTCCTTTCTGTATGTTGAGAGATACACATGGTCAAATTTCCTAAAACCTGAATCTAACTCAATCTAAATTATATGATTTCCGTTTCTACACAGTGGAACAAGTGTGTGTGAAATAAAATCACCAGCCCAGAGGCATTCACCCAAATAAATCTTGGAGATTTTCTGCAACATTTCATCCCTCTACTTCTATATCTAAGTATTGCTACTTCTAGTTGGATGTAAAATGCATCCTTCTCAATTTATTTTTGTTTGTGGGGGATGGATGGAACTAACTGTTCCCCCACTACTTTATAAACAAATATAAAATGTGGATGTGTAGGTATTTTAAATGCTAACAGTAGAATTTTAGTATCTAGTTAATAACCCTATTGGTTGGAATTTAAATCTTTTCAGGAGGAAAAATTAATCATCCATTATATCATTCATCTTGATGCTGTCACTTTCTTCTTGAAATCAGAAAAACATCGTAGTTTTTACATGGTAGTTTTTCCTTGTTGGAGGACAGTTGCATTTTACTCCACACTGTTAAATGCATTAGGCCATGTAAGAGAAATATAATTCTGTAATTATTCAGAACTCAGTTGGTTGTTTATATGGTATTCAGCAAGATACTTCCCCCCCACCTCCAACTTCTTATAACACAATTTCAAAGCACCAATCGTCTTCCTCTTTTAAAGTAACACCATGACTGATTGCCTTAAATTTATATATGATCTTGTTCTAATGTCCTTTCTAAAAATAAGAAAAAAATATTCCACAAGTAAAACGAGAGTATGATAGATACTTCACCATGGTGCTGGTGTATGTAGACTTGCGTGAGGGGGAGGACATGGAATGGTATGTTCTCCATTCATCTCTAGTTTTATTTCCTAGATGAGTTATGGGTGAATACTGTGACAAAAACAAAACAACAACTAAAATGGAAAAGTCCCAGGAGTGAACAGAAACCAGGACTTAAACTGCTTCATCATTATTTTATTGTATTGTTTTCGTTTTGGGTTTTTTTTTTTTTTTTTTTTTTTTTTTTTTTTTAAGGAAGTTACAACAAGGAGCAGCTAAGGACAGATAAATTGGTAGCAGATTGTGGTTTATGATAACGACAGTCCCGAAGGAACTTGGCTTTCTTGGTGACGTTGAAGTAAATTGCATTACTCAAGATGTATACTAAGAAGGATAGATAATGAGGTGTATGGGGGAAAGGCATGATGACTATTTTTATAGTATTGTTGACTACCAAAATGAATGGAAGGGAAGGCGGGACCAGGTGGAGTTCCTTGGGTTAATTTCGATGTACCTTATAAATGACAAAATTTCCACCCACTTCTCTTAGAGGGATAAAAATATTTGAAAGTGTCTGAAACAATTGCCGACCACTATTTCAATTCCTTTTCCTAACTTCTAGTACCTTTGATTTACTCTGAATTCCTAATTTCTTGTTAAATGGGACCATATTTGTTTATAATTCACCTGGGTTAAAAATAATGTTTTCTTCTGAGAAGAGGAAAGAGGAAGGGAGTGCTCTAGCTTCTTCATCCAGAAACAGACTCTTATGTAAAACCCCCAGGAGATTCTATAAGATATCAGGGAAGATTCACCTAAAGATTAGGACCCTTTGAGCCTGACAAATCTCCTGTTGAATGCCTTGCTTTCAACCAAAGCTGAGATAAAAAGTGCGCGCATGTGCACACATGCTCAAATACACAGGCAGAAAGCTCTCAGCTACAAGACCTGCTTCCGTAGTTTACAGAGCACCTGTAGCCCATTTCCCCTGTGTTTTTTAGGCAAATCTTTGTTATCATGGTGTATGACAGCCACATATAATCTGAGTACCACTTCCTCCCTTCTTAATTTTCCACCATTTATGCCAATTAGAAGCAAAATAAAAGGGATGATTTCTGGTCACTTAAAATCGGGGTGAAGCAAGGATGGAGGTTGTCCTGCAAAGGCATTTTAATTCTAAAGAAAAAGGAGATTAGTGGCCTCTACCCATCTTAGAGAATAGAGTGTCCTGACACCTTCCCTTCCTCCTTGCTCAGTATTCTCCCTCTCCCTAGTGCCACATTGAGAGGAGATTCACTCCTAAAAGAGTGTGTCATTTTAAGTTGACTTTCTTGGAGCTGAGCTAAGAGCCATTGCCAAGGCCAGTGGGCGTAAATTCAGTCCGCCTGACGGGAGATGAAGGGTTGTGGGATTTATGACTTATTTGAGTTCTCATATATCACCCTCTGTGTCGCTCGCTTATGATGGCCCTGCCAAAAGATAAAGAAGTGTAGGACGCTGGTACGGGCTGTGGTGACAGGCCAGGGACAAATGTCTCTGTTGGGTAAATTGATTTGAATGACTCTAGTGAAATATCAGGTTAGGCTGAAAATATGATTGGGTTTAATGATCCTGCTGACTTTGTAGACTGTTGGGATTCCAAATCCTGGACAAGTTAATTAAGGCATTCTATGAAGGGGGTGTGTATGAATATTTGTAAATCCATGTAATTATTAATGTCAATAAATACCACCATGTAAAAACTCAGACCTGTTCTTTCACATAATATATTGAATGTCCATTGAATACAGGGAACATTACTTACAATTTATAGAGTATTTATCTGGGAAAAACTGTTGAGAACGTTATTTTTTCTCCACATCCCAGAGTCAACAAGCAGAGACCGAAAGGCATAAAAATGTGGAATGAAAAGATAGAGAAGAGATAAGCAGTTTATTCTCTCCTGGCAAAATTTAGTAGCCTTACCCTTAATAGTGGAGAAGAAATTTTTATGTGAAATTGGGGTTGTTTTAGGCCACTAACCCAAAGATCAAATGGATTGCTTTTTCAATTACAAAAACACATATATTGTTACCTTATTTTTTGAATGTGGCTATTCAGTTAAAAATAATAGAGTTTAGATTTCTTTGTAGGACCAAAATTTTTTCAGCAGGTTTCTGTTTTTCCACTTAAAATTGCTTCCAAATTTCTGAGTTTACTTCTAATAATGGGTATGCTCTCCTTGCTATTTTTATCTCTAGGTAATTGTTGACTGCTTGTAGTTTTTTCTTGTTGGGCATGAATGACTGGCTTCATCTTCCAAAAGTGTTACAAAACACCAGTTATTTCTTTGAGCTTTAGACTTTTCCTTTGCAGAAAGGAGCCTTATTTACATCCAAATGAATTCCCAGGAGAGTTTTCCACTGATGCCGACTGGTTAACAGAAGTACAGGCGAGCAGGAATCCCTCGCTACCTGGCCTTTCGTTCCCTGGTTCCATCTGGATCTCTGGGAAAATTTTCCATCTTTATTTGCCATAAAGTATGATTTATTTATTTCAACGAGTGGCTAAGAGCCCTGGAATGCCATCTTTAATGAGTGTAGGGAGGATGGTAAATTGGGTTTAGAGAAGAATATTGTTAAATATGTTCAACTTTTAGAACCCAAACAAAAACACAACCAGTGTCAGTGTTTGAGAGTGCTGTACTCATCTGTGAACGTAACAGAGAGGAAAGGTGTCTCCGAAAGAACTCTTCATTCTTAGGAGAGGCCCCAGAATAATCACAAAACTTGGAACTGTATCTATGGAATATAGAGGTTTCCTTGTCTTGGAGTGGATTCTTAGAGTAAAACATGCCTATATCCTTCTGTTCTTTTATCAACTTCAACTGACTGTGAATGATGTACTCACTGAGAAAAATCCATTTGCTCAGGTCTAATTTTAGGTAATTTCTCTTTCTGTATGTTAATGGAACCCATAACTGTTTTGCCTACTGGTTTCCAACTGAGGATTAATATAACAGTTTCCACTCAACAATTGTATTGCTTTTTTATCCCCCTTATTTCCTTTTCTTTCTTCATATGAGAATATTGAGAATAAGAGAGATTAGGAAATTTACACTGCTTCTGAGGGACAAGGCAGCTTTTGGACCCAATTATGCATGCCTCTGAAACACATGTTCTGCACCACACCATTTTTTCTGTTATGTTTGAGAGATAAAAAGTTGTCCGTCTGTCTACCTCTCCAGGCTAATGTCTCACCACATTCAATCAAACTTCTCCTTCCCCAGGCCAGGATTCATGCAGTCCCTACCTGTAATGTGCTTTTTCATATTCTTTTTTATTTTAAATAGAGACAGGGTCTTGCTCTGTTGCCCAGGCTAGAGTGCGGTGGTGCAGTCATACTTCACTTTAATCTCAAACTAGACTCCTGGGCTCAAGCAATCCTCTCATTTCGGCCTTCCAAGTAGCTAGGACTATAGGTGCATGCCACCATATCTGGCTAAATATATATTTTGTGTGTGTACTTTTTGTAGAGACAGGATCTTGCTAGGTTGCCCAGGCTGGTCTCAAACTACTGACCTCAAATGATCTTCCTGCCTCAGCCTCCCAAAGTGCTATGATTATAGGCCTGAGCCATCTTTTCATTATCTTTCTTCAGATCTCAAATTATTTGTCACTCACTGGAAGTGTACAGCTAATCTGAAGTGGCCTTCCACAGTTCCCATCTCGCTCATTACCTGGATAATTTCCTTTATAGCAATGACCACATTTTGGTATTGTTTTGGATATTGGTTACCTTGTTAAATGCCTGTCTGTCTTATCTCCTCCAACCAAAAGTAAACTCTCTAAGATCAGGAATCCTGCCTAAGTTTTTGGCCTGCATATCATCAGTGTCCTGCATATAGCAGGCCCAATAGTTGTTCTAAAAATTAATGTATACCTGAATGAATAAAAGCTCTTAGAGTGACAGAAATGTAAACAAATACTTCTAACGCTAAGAAAAGTTTGTTACATGTTCTAACAAAGATTTAACCAAAATGTTGTGGCTACAAAGAAAAAGATGGGTGAAGAAGAATGGACAAACACTAGGGGAACATGAGAAAGTTCCTGGAAGAATATTGTCATATATGAATTGAGACTGGTGCATGGTACAATTTCATATATAAAGATAGTGGGGAAAGCATTCTTGGAAAAGTCTCTTGTTGTGAGGCATTACCCAGAGTTCTTTGTCTTAAAACCAAGAGAATTAAGGAGCATGGACAGAAAGGGTGAGGTTGGAGTGAAAGTTTAATAAGTGAAGAAAGAAAGCTTTCCACCACAGAGAGGGGTCCCGGAAGAGGGTTGCCATTTTTACAGTTGAATGCAAAAGAAACTGATGAGGGCTGGGTGTCTCATGTGCATAAGGTGTGAATTTCTGGTAGCTCCACCTTGTCCTCCTAATGCGCATGTGGGCTCTTAGCTTGAGTTACTCCATATTGCTTTGTTCCCCTTACTGCACATGTGTTGAGGTGGAATTTTTCATTGCAGGCATGTCTGGGCAAGTCACCTGTTTAGCCTTTCTTATCTGTGTGGCTGTGGGCATGTCCTAGTTAGGCAAGTCCCATTTTCCAAGTTCCCTTATCTGTGCCTGCAGGCTGTTCTTTCCTTTGAGAGAATTCAGCCAAGGACCCACCCTAACTGCCTGCCTGACCACTTTCTTCCTTTCTCCTCTCTCATAATGATGTAACAGTAAAAATACCTGAGTTCAAATCCTGATTTTTCCTTTTAATAGCTGTTGACTTTGGGCTATGTGCTTAAAAAACATTTTTTGCAGAGCTTTCTCAATACTTGGCACATTATTGTCACTGTTTCTCCCTGGATCTTAGTTTTTTGGGTTGCTAAGTGAGCATAATAATCCATAGTTCAGAAATTTTTGTGAAATAATGTATGTCAAAGAGCATGGTTTTTAGCAGGTACTTTCATTCATAGAGATAGTAGCTGAGTTTAGGTGACCCGTTAAATTTGGGAAAGGATTATTTAAAGTCAAGGAGCAGATCCATTATGACACCATAATTAGAATGGATAACCACATCCGCAGAAAGTGCGCTGCACTATGAGTAAATGTAATTTTGTTCGTAAAGTGCTGGGCCTAGGGTTAGGGGAGATAAGTTCTTAATATGTCTTAATATAGCCTTGGGTTCTGGGATATGCTAAAAAATTATTCAACTCATTAGTGTCTCAGTATCCTTGTGCTTAAAATTATTATTATAAAAATACCTGAATGTGAACTTAACCTCTTCTTGAGAGTTTCAGTAAGGAAAGTGAGGCTCACTTCTTTCTGGAACATTAAACTTAAGCAGGAAGGTGCCACATGAAGTATTATATCATAATGGAAGCAATGTAAAAAGAAGAGTGAGTCACTTCATCAACTTCACAATGCAAAGGTGCTACCATAAGTCATAATTCTAATACAAAGATTTATATAAATAATGATTCTGGGATTAGCCAGATCTCCTAATGTTCTAGGGTTTGTCATCATGAATTGTGGTATCACTTAGTAAGTACATACTTAAAGAGAAGAATAGGAGGGGAGGGAATGTTAGAAGAATAGTGAACAACTAAAAAAATGTGAGAGATAGCCTGGAGAGAAAAGCAAAAGGACAAGGCAACACAGGAAAAAGCAAAGTGGAGAAACAGATATGCCTAGCAAGAGGAAACCAAAGTTAGCCCGGTAGGGTATTGTTGCAAAAGGAAAGCCGGCCTTGTCATTTATCTAACCAAACATTCCACTCCTCAGTGATGGGGTAGCTGCTCTTTGAAAGACAAGCAACTGTGATGGGGACCTGTCAGTCTTCCTTACATGCAGCTGGTTCTCTAAATATTCCAACGATTCCTATCATTTTCTGTAGGAGTACCTGCAAAACTGGAAGGCTAGGCTGATGGCTTTTTCTCCATTAAGCAGTAAACACGTTAAGCAAGCTTGAGCCAGGTTCTGGAGGAGGTCATCTTGCAAGGATAAAAAACATTGCATTTATTGGATGAATACTTAATGCACGGTTTGCCTTATCCCTACCTTAGAGATGAGAAAACTGAGGCTAAGACTAGCTAAGTAATTTACCCATGTTTGCATGGCTTGCTGATGATGGATCCGGATTTGAATTCCATTTTGTCTGACTCCATAAATCATACTCATGCTAGTACACTGCCCTGGCCTGGATGGGCCATTTTACATTGTGTTTTTCTTTTATAGACATTAATATGTGTAATAAATAGAATGGGAGTATGTATTATTAAATGTTAATTTTGAAATATAAGATTGTTTTCAGATGGAATATCCTTTTCATTCTTTATGATCCTTAATGCTGATTTGAAAATTAGAATAGGAAAGGTATGGCAAGTGTGTATTTGTGATGGGAGTAGCTAACACTGCTCACTTTAACAGTAAAGCTCTGCCATCTGGGTTATTGCAAATTCTTGTAAATTGGTATGGCCTGTCCTGCTGTCCTGGAAAGGGAGCAACTAGCACAAGAGAAACCAATCAAAATGCAGCAAAAGGATTTTTTTTTTTTGGTAAGATTTTGCTTAATTATCACTGCAGTAGAATGGCTAGCCAAAGTCAGAAATCTTTTATTTCTGCTCAGTGAGCAGCCCAATAAAGCTTCAGAACATACAGCACAAACAAATGCCATTTCATTTTTCTTTACTTCTTAAAAAAAGTTAATCAGGAATTTGTTAGAATAATCCTGTGTTAAATCAAGCAGCCAGACAATGAAATAGGAATTAAAGAAAATGAAAGTGGTGGGAATTATAGAAATATTAAATTATTTCAAAAACCCTACCAAGTGAATTGGTTAATAAGCATGTACAATTTATTGCCCTATGGGTCCTCTTTTTACAGGCATCTTTATGGTTCATCAGTTTGCTCCCATCTACACCACCTGCCTATAATTCTTGACAAAAGTCTGTTTTAGATACTGAAAGTATCCACTAGATTTGAGAACAAAGCAACCCTGTAGCGTGAGCCCAGAGTCCAGAAGGATGTGGGTGGAGGCGGATCAGGATCCAAGATTTTAGCAAAAGATGGCTTGCTTAAGTGAAGCAGTTTGCACTCTGCCTCTTTATTCAGTTAGGCCTGGTGTCCCTTCCAGCAAGAAAAGCAACTGGAGGTCCTGAAATTGCACACTCACCCAATTTCCCCAAATTCTTTACTTCTGAGGACTATTGAATCACAGAGATACAGCAGTAGACTTCATGAAGTTCATCTAGCACCTAGGATCTTGGGATCTATGGCCCGGGACAGCTCCTGCTGTACAGGTCTTGGGTAGGCTGCCATCCTCTAGGTGGTGGCGGCAGTGTGGCTTGTGGTTCTTTTTGAGTGTACACTGGCTGCCTTACTTGCGAGAATCTAGTTCTATCAAGTGTCAGTTAAAGGCCGTTTTTGTCTCTGATTGCATAACAGGGTATGTTTGAGAGAGACATCGCTGAGAGAAATTCAAAGCTACCATGTGAAGATCCTTTCCTGAATATAGTGTGGCTACCTCAGATCAGGATTCTCAAGCTTGGCAGTTTTGACATTTTGGACTGGATTCTTTTTTGATGTGGGGAAACTACCTGTGCACTGAAGGATGCTTTGCAGCATCTGAGGATGACCCACTAGATATTAGTAGCACCTTTCTCCCATGGTAACAAACAAAAATGTCTCCAGACATTTCCACATGTCTTCTGTAGGGCAAAATCCCACTGGCTAAAAGCCAGTGATGGAGTTTGTACTCTTTGAAATAAGACCACTGACTTTTTGTCTTCCACCTAATTACGCTCAGTAAGATAAGGCCTTCTTTTGAGGTAGACTTTCAACATCTATCTCTGATTCTTTTTGAGAAAACACGTTGCATTTTAATCTTTTAGTGACCGATTGTCCCCAAATGTAAAATAGAAAGTTGAGGGAGGCAGTAGTTATATGCACATATTTTTTGAGCCAGAGTTCCCTGAGTTTGAGTTAAGGTGTCCTGAGTTTTGAGTTAAAGTTCCCTGAGTTTGCTACCAATTAGCTATGAAACCTGGGCCGAGTTAAAAGTTAGACCTTTACAGTCTTAAGTCTCCCTTTTTCATGTGTAAGACAAGGGAGAATAATGATTGTACCTTTTTCATAGGTTTTGATGATGGTTAAATGAGTTGAAGTAGTGAAAGCTCATAGCACAATGGCTGGCCCATGTTGAATGCCTAATGAATGTTTGCTATAATTACTACTGTTGATGATAATACTTTTGAAAACATAGTTGACTTGTTATAATTAAGCCAGTGTTTACATCTGCTTTACCAAATACTTCCCATGGTTTTTATCTCAGAAAATAGACTCAAAAGTGAACACACACACACACACACACACACATATATACCACACATATGTACAACCTGCATCGTCTAATAAGCTCAGTGGTTCCATATACTATATCTTTGGCCAAATCCGGGGCTTTCTGATTAGCACCTCTAGTTTTTTTTTTTTTTTTCTTCCCACTCCTGCTATAACCATTCTCAGCATTTTCTTCCAGTTTTTTCCTTCTAGAACTACTGCCAGGTGAACTACAAATTATTTTCTTGATTTGCAGCCCATGCACCAATGAGAAAATGCCTATGGTGTCTTTTGATTTTATGGTTCATTGCTTAGGCCTTGTCATAAAAACCATGGCGTCTCTTAAAAGAAAATATAAAACAAAAACAACTTTCTCTTGGCCAGAGTTTATCAAACCTATGCCCATAATGGCATAGAAATATAGGAAATGAGACAATCCTACTCCCCCAATCCCCGTTTTCTGTTTATTTGTTTGATTCCTGCCAAAGCAAAGTGACCTTGAGGGGGCACCGGCTCAGTGTTTGCTTTTTCTGGCGCTACCCACACCCCTCCTTCTTCATCTCCTACTGCTCCCCATTCAGCTCCTCAACAATCGGCAATCACTCTGCCCTTCTGCTCCAAATTTATGACCGGGAGCAAGCCATAAACAGAGAAGGCCAATCCTGATCCTAGGCACTGCACCTTCCTGTTTGCCAGAGGTATGACAGCTTGATGGGACTGTAAAGAATAAGCCTGCATCCCCACAAGCCGCATGAATCATGTCCTAGGATAATGACTAGCAAAGGCTGCTGCAGAGACTGCAGGTGACTCAGAGCCCTGAGGCAGGGCTTTCCCTAAACCACCTAGAACAAAGGGTTCCCATGGATGTTCTCTCTGTGGCGTCATCTCACAAATGAGAAGACCTCACCCACTCTCTGATCTATAAAAGCAGCCTTTTTATTCTGTGATCCATGTGAAATGGCAAAGATCACTCCAGCTTATTGATGCTCAGAGAATTATGAAGGTGCCACCTGAATGATACTCCTATAGGAAATATTTGGTGAACAAGATAACGTTTTTTCATGGATACTATTTGCCTCCTCCAGTTGCCGCTTGGTGTGTATATTATTCGCCAGTGATTGATAATGCCTCGGGACCACCTAGTGATCTTGTTCAGTTTCTAATTTAGTTGATCTGAGGTGGGGCCTGAGAATTTGCATATTTTAAAAACTCCCAAGTGATGCTGATGCAAAACAGCTAGAAGAGAATAATAATTCAAATAAATGTTCCTGGTGTAAAGGAAAGATAAATATTTCAGGTGATGGATATCCTAATTACCCTGATGTGATTGTATGAATGTATCAAATTATTCCAGGTACCCTGAAAATATGTATATCTAATGGGTACCAAAAACAATAAATAAATAATAAAAATCTGCTTTCACCAACTGATCTAGGTTTAAGCAATGGAGTAACATGACACCAGTATAACACCTTTTGCATTTCTGAAAGCTTCCTTCCCCTCCTCTTTCCCCTCCCCTCCTCTCCTTTCCTTTCCTTCTAGATCTGACAGTAGTAGCTGCAGCTTATGCTTTAGATTTGAGATACACAGTTGGGATCTATGATGGTCCCTGAGAAAGGACAATGAGTAGAAGAAGCAAGGTGCAGAGAGGATCTAACAATTTTTGCATGGACATGAGATTTGGAGCAAGGTCTAGAAGCTCATATCAGCAAGGAGTAAGTATGCTTGTGGCTTAAAGATTATGGTCTTCAAGACTTGCTCCTGGACTGGAAATATTCCCCTAATTTTTTGCCTAAATGAAATGTGCTACAGGCCTGAGTATACCTAAATCAGCTTCATTTTTCTGTCAAATCCCTCCCTGTATGCTTCTTCCAGTGATATGTCATGCAGATGTCCACAGGGGACATAGGATCTTGTAGTGCAAAAAACATGAGACTTTCATCAGACAATCAGTCTTGACTCTCAGACTCACTGTTGATTCTATGACCTAGCTCAAGCTACTTAACTCTCTAAGGTTAAATATCCTCCTCTATAAAAACCTGATAGTATGTACTAAAGAGGGTATTTTTGAAAATTACATGAGATAAAACAGCCTAGAATGCTATCTGATGCAATAGTCATCCAGTAAATTTTAATATCATTCTACTTTGAACCAGGTTGTTTATATTAAATTTAACAGAATTAAGCAACATACAGTAGCGATTTATTCTGTGGGCTCTGGAGTCTGCCTGTAAGGGTTTGAGCTCTAGCTCAGCGACTTCTTTACTGTGTGAACATTGATATGTTTACTTTAATCTCTCTAGGCCTTAGTTTTCTGGATTTTGAGGCTTAAATGAGTTATTACTTGTAAAACACTTAGGAGAGTCTCTGCTATGTAATAAGTGTTCCCAATATATAGATTTTATTTCATCTAGTTGAATTTAGAGAGTAGCAAGCCACTCCCTTCCCGCCCCACCCCCGAAAAAAAAAAAAAACACACCACCACCAACAACCCACTTTTAGTGTGGCACCATATCTAAGAAGGTATTCTCCAAGACTTCTTTATGTGAAGTAGTTCAGCCTTGGCAGAGTTAAAAGTTTTCAGTTATAATCTTGACAAAAATTAATTGGGATGTATCATCAATCTAGACAATAGCTAAAATTATAAAGCTTCTAGGAGAAAACATGGGAAAATATCTTTGAAAGTGTGAAATAGGCAACAATATTTTAGAATACAAAAGCACTAAGTATATAAAAGAAAGTATCAATAGATTCAACTTAATGAAAACAAAAATTCAGCTCATCAAAATATATACCTAAGAAAATTAAAGGGTAAATTTTAAAATTTTTGTTCCCCAGACATAGACTGGGAGAAAATATTTTCAGGATATATATCTAAAAAAGGACCTGTATTCACAACATATGAGGATCTCCTGCAAATCAAAAATAAACACAAACAATAAAAATAGGCACTTTATAAAAAAGATACGTGAATGGTCAATAGTCCCATGCAAAGATATTCCACATCTTTAGTAATCAAGAAATTGTATATTAAAATCACAGTGATGTATCATTTTATACCAACTAAAATAGTTAAAATTTAAAAGACGGACAACACCAAATATTGGTGAGCATTAGAACTACTGAAATTGTCATACTTTGCACATGGGAATGTAAGATGATAAAACCACTTTGGAAAAATTGCAGTTTTTAATATAGTTAAACATAAATCTAAACTAAGACTTCGTAAGTTTACTTTTACATATTTATCCAAAAGAAATGGAAACATATATACACAATGACATAAAAATGTTCACATTAGCTCTTTAATAGTCTCAAAATGAAAACAAGACAGGTATCCATCAAGAGTATGGATAAACAAAACACAGTATATTCCTATGATGGAATACTAATATTCAATAAAAATAATAAACTACAAGTAAATGCAACAACATGTATGCATCTCAAATACAGTATATTTTTGTGGAGAGAAAGACACCAAAGAGTACATACTATATAATTTCATTTATATGAAGTTCAAAACTAGGCAAAATTAACCTGTGTTATTACAGAAAACAATACTAATTGCCTATGAGTATTGGCAGGAAGGGGCATGAGAGAGCTTTGTGGGATGGCAGAAATGCTCTACATTCTGATGGGAGTGTTGGTTTCAGGGGTACATTGATTTGTTAAAACTCATCCAGTTGTATATAGGCATTCCTTGGAGATATTACAAGTTTGGCTCCAGACCCCATAATAAAGAAAATATCTCAATAAATTGATTGACACCGATTGGCACACAGCTTTATTTCCCAGTGCATATAAAAGTTATGTTGACACTATTCTGTAGTCTTTTAAGTGTGCAATAGCATTAAGTCTAAAAAAGCAACATGCACACCTTAATTTAAAAGTACTTTATTGCTAAAAAATGCGAATGATTATCTGAGGCTTCAGTGAGTCTTTTTTTTTTTTTATTTTTTGCTGGTGGAGGGAGGGTCTTGCTTGGATGTTCACAGCTGCTGACTGATCAGGGTGGTGGCTGCTGAAGGTTGGGGTGGCTATGGCAATTTCTTAAAATAGGCCGGGCGCGGTGGCTCACGCCTGGAATCCCAGCACTTTGGGAGGCCGAGACGGGCGGATCACGAGGTCAGGAGATCGAGACCATCCTGGCTAACACGGTGAAACCCCGTCTCTACTAAAAATACAAAAATTAGCCGGGCATGGTGGCGCGTGCCTGTAGTCCCAGCTACACAGGAGGCTGAGGCAGGAGAATGGCGTGAACCCGGGAGGCGGAGCTTGCAGTGAGTCGAGATCGCGCCACTGCACTCCAGCCTGGGCGACAGAGCGAAACTCCGTCTCAAAAAAAAAAAAAAAAAAAAAAAAAAAAAAAAAAAAAAAAAAAAAAAAAAAATAATAATAATAATAATAATAATATGATGGGGTGTGCTGCATTGACTGATTCTTCTGTTTACAAAGAAAGATTTATCTGTACTATGTGATGCTGTTTGATAGCATTTTACCCAAAGCAAAATTTTCAAAATTGGAGCTAATCCTGTTAAGCCCAGCAGCTGCTTCATCAACTAACTTTATATAATATTCTAAATTATTTGTTGTTATTTCTAGAATGTTCACAGAATCTTCACCAGGAATAAATTCCATCTCAAGAAACCACTTTCTTTGCTTATCATACGAAGCAACTCCTCATTCATTCATGTTGTATCATGAGATTACAGTAATTCAGTCACATTTTCTCCTGTACTTCTGTTCTAGTTCTCTTGCTATTTCCACCACATCTGCAGTTACTTCCTATGCCAAAGTCTTGAACCCCATAAAGCCATCTACGGGGGTTGACATCAACTTCTTCCAAACTCCCGTGAATGTTGATATTCTGACCTTCTCCCATGTATCATGAATGCTCTTAATGGCATTTAAAATGATGAATCCTTTTCAGAAGGTTTTTAATTTACTTTGCCCATATCCAACAGAGGAATCACTACCTATATTAGCTATAGCCTTACAAAATGTATTTCTTCAATAAGACTTGAAAGGTGAAATTACTCCTCGATCCCTTCAATTTGTAAAAAATACAATATATATAAAGCACGATGAAATGAAGTGCAATAAGATGAGATATACCTATACCTAAAATCATGGGCTCCACTCTGTATAAATTGTACCACAATTTAAAAATGTATATCATATATATATTTAAATATTATAATAAAACTAATTTTGAATTATTCTTGATTCTAGGCAGTCTCTCTGCAGGAGTCTCACTCTGTTTGTTAGACTCTTTTCTTCCACCAGAATTTCTGTCCTGCAGCTCACCATTATCTAGAAAACTGAGAAACAGGAATATCATAACAGTAAACAAAAGTCACTTAGTTGATTACATGCATCTCTCAAAAGCCTGTACCTTCTGCTATGATTAGATTATTCCAGAAGCCTCTTCTGGAGGAATCTCTTACATTTGCCCTTCATCTATGGGATTCTGCACTTTCGCCTTTCTGTTTCTGTGTTGTCCTGAGATATCTCATGTAGAAATGAATTGATGGCCCTTTATACTGCGGTTGGACTCTTCATTCAGATTTTTTCAAAGCACATTATAAACTCTAATTCATTAACGTCATCATAAATGGTAATGTCCTGTGAAAAAGAGAGGTGGTGGCACCAATTAAAATAATCTTCTTGTAGTCACACATCAAATCAATGTCAGTGCAAACACTTGAACCACCAGTTAATGCAGCCCCATTTCTTTTTATATTGACAACAGCACAGTGGTTGAAGCTGAAATAGAACCTCAGTTCATACTTATAGAATATGCCATGCTGCACTTAACACATGGATCTACAGGGAGAAGGAAACAGAAGTGAACATGGACTAGATGAGAATCTGATGGACGATATGTACCACGTGCTTTGAAATAGCCATAAGGATGTCTGCACAAGAATATCCATGCATTCGTTCTTAGAATTTCAGGGCCGGTTGTAGCTCAGTCATTTTGCCATTGACTTAATTGAAATCCAAATCAATGCAGACACTTGCTCAAGGTCACATAGCTTGTTCTCTCCCAGCTCCCCTGACTGCCGGCCTCAAGCCCCTGCCTCCACAGACTGTGGGCTACAGATTCCCCAAGAGATTTCCTTATTCCCTGGATTCTCCTAAGTTTGCATAACAGAAGTACTTAAATGCATCACTTCATTTGGGTATGGGATTTTAAATAAATAATATGATACAAATTCTCTCACACTGCAGAGAGTCTAATAATAGCTTACAGTAATAGAATGAACACTCTGTGCCCAGAACTCCTTTGAATATTTTACATAACATTAACTTAATCTTCACAATATCCTATGAGGGGATACTATTGTTATCCTCATTTTATTGCTGTGGATGCTGACACATAGGGAGGTTTAAAACCCTGCCCCACATAATGCAGTTTGCTAGTGATAGAGCCAGAATCAGAATGTTGAAGGTTGGTTCTAGCAGCCACACAGTAATTGCTCTGACCTATCTCCTTTCTACAGGAAATGGGGTAGAGGAGATTCGTTTCCTCTGAAAAAAAAATAGCTAAAACCTCAATGATGAAAACCTATGAGTGACTAATGAGTATGACAGCTAATACTAAATGGACAATTGTCACTGTGCTAAGTGGTTTATTTCATTTGAATTATCACAACTCAACAAAAAAAAGTTATTTTCATCTTTCTCTTATACATAAAGAAACTGAGGCAGGCGGTGTTAAAGGAACATGCCTTTAGCCGCACAGGTGGAAAAGAGCATGAACCCAGACAGGCTGGCTCCAGGGACTGCGGCAATGTTGTAATAAAATGGCATTTGTTCAGTCCAGTTTTAATTGATGAGATACTAAACAGAGTCGGCACTAAAGAAAATTTCCTTGGAGAAACATTTATGCTTAGCTATTTCAGAGCTGGAAAGTCCCTTTGGTTTGATATAAACGGCCTTCATTTTTATGGAGCTGGCATCAAACTGATTTTAGAAAGAACTGGCCTTTCTCCAAGTTAGCCCTGGTCAGAGGAACCTAACACATTTCTCAGTTTAAACTAGTAATTCTCAAGGAAGGGCAAGGTTTGGAGAGAGAGCAGTGCACCGCTAAGGGAGGTATCAGTACCTGGAAGAGGGGAAGCAAATACATGTTCTGAAAACAAAACATTGCTGGAAGACGGATATCGAACTTGACCTAAGATTTTCTTTTCCATCTCCCCTGGCTAAGATGAACAAGTTTGCATTGGGCAAGTAGAGTCAGCATTTACACTGGTATCTTGTGCTTGGAGTGAAAAGCAAAATGAAACAAAAAGAGGTTTCTTTTTCTAAAATTGTTTTGGTTTTGATTTGCGTTTAGTCATAATTCTTAATTTATGTAATTTTTAACATTTCATAAGACAGCATGAGGATTTTGTTTTTGAGGAACATCCATTTTAAGTTTGAAGAAAATCCATTTAAATGCAGTTGGGCAGAGCTGCCACATGCCTATCCCATCCCTGTTCTGATGGTGGCCCTAAGACGTTTCGAAGAGCTTGGATTCTACTTATCCAAAACTAATTCTGTACATTTACGGGATCATCAGAATCATGAAAAATGTTTCTAGGGATTCTAGGTTTTTAGTAGAGAGAGAAAATGATTTCTAGGATAAAATTCAGATAAGCCTTGAGCTAGGAAACTCATAGTTCATGTTGTTACAAAGAACTAAAGCTGATTTTTCAGAGTACCAGCTTCTCAGAGGACCTGAGACTTGCGGATCTCATTTACAGATTCCAAAACCCCTCGCAGTTACACTGGACTGATTTTTGGCTTGGAAAGAGCAGTGGGATACATCCTGCACTAGCCCTTGTCCTGATGGATTGAGACACAAAGCTTGGCCTGAGCCTCTGTGTCACCAGTGTTAGAGATGATCTTTGTTTCTCCTGCAGGGAGCTTTCTCACTGCCAAATGGCGTGGGGCTTTCCTAGCTTTAAGATGAAACAAAGAGAATGCATTCTCCCATAGTCTTGTCTCATAGACTCCCATCTCATGAGGAATTATCTCAAGTAAGTATCACTTTCTAAACAGGTTGCAAAAATCCATTAGACAGGTAGGATTCACCTCGCCTGCCCATTAGGGATCAGAGGCTGCCTGCTGAGAGCCCATATCTGCAGTGTTTTCTGGGTTTCCTTTTTTGCAATGGCTCTCATACCCTGATGTCACTTGTTTGGTGTGCATGATTGTGCTTAGCCAAAAAGAATGTGCAGTAGTCACTTGGCCTTTAAGTAGCAGGTAGTGAAAGACAGCAGGGAGAGTGTAACGAATCTTATTCTTTCAGAAAATACTAAGATTATTTTATTTCATGTTTCACTCTCATCAACTATTTAATTACATTCATTCATTCATTGATTTAAAACTCATCATGTTGCCACTATTTGCCTGTTCTATGCTAGCACTGGAGATCTATGGATGAAGAAGACAAACAAGGATGCTATTCTCATGTGCATTACATTTAATTGTGGATAGGAAATTAAAGCAACTAAACTCACTGAGAATCAGAGCTAACATTTGCCCAGCACTTAGTACATGGCAGGTGCAGTTTTACAGCTTGATGTATGTTAACTCATTTAATTCTTCTAATAAGCCTATAAGGCATAAGCTATTATCTGCTTTTAGAGATAAGAAAATGAAGGACTAGAGACTTTAGTTAACTTTCCTAGGGTCACACAGGTAGGAAGTGACAGAGCTGGGATTTGATCCAGGGCTCCCTGGCTCCAAAGCTCTTGCTTTTAGCCATGATACTATAATGCATTGAATAATGGGCGATATCTACCTTTCCTTGATGGTCAGGAAGAAAGGTCAAAAGAAAGGTTGTTAGAGCTAAAATCTGAAAGAGGAGAAAAGTTTTTCAGATAAAGAGAGTGTGCGTGTGTATTTTGTATGTGAGTATTGTGCGTGTTCTATGTGTGCTGTATGCCGTGTGTGTGTGTTGTGTGTGTGTGTATTGTGTTGGGATAGAGCAGCAACACAACAGTGTCCCTAGCGGAAGAAGTAATGTCTGTGATGGTAAGGGAAAAGAGGGTGAAAGTGAGAAAAGAGTGAGAGAGAGGCTCGGACAACTTAAACAACTGGAAGGCCAGCAGGATAATGGTTATGGTAGAGGTGGAGAGAAATATGAAGTTGGAATGGGATGGGATCAGGGACACATCATGCCAAGTCTTCTATGCCACATTGGGAATGGAAAGTCATGAAAAGATTTTAAGCTGGAGAGTTACCTAATTTATCATAGATTTTAAAAAGATTCCTCTTGCAGCTGGGTCTTAAGAATTAGTGGCTCTTCATTGATGAGTTCATGTCCTTTGTAGTGACATGGATGAAGCTGGAAACCATCATTCTCAGCAAACTATCGCAAGGACAAAAAACCAAACACCGCATGTTCTCACTCATAGGTAGGAATTGAACAATGAAAACACATGGACACAGGAAGGGGAACATCACACACCGGGGCCTGTTGTGGGGTGGGGGGAGGGGAGAGGGATAGCATTAGGAGATATATCTAATGTTAAATGATGAGTTAATGGGTGCAGCACACCAACATGCCACATGTATACATATGTAAGAAACCTGCACGTTATGCACATGTACCCTAAAACTTAAAGTATATAAAAGAAAAAAAGAATTAGTGGCTCTTGCAGTTGTTCAGGCAAGAGATGAAGGAGGCTTGCCCTTGGATGAATGGCAAGATTCTGTGTGTGGTATGAAAGTCTAGAGCTTCCTTGATGACCATCTCCTACCCCATGCATTTACAGCTTTCTCTCCTTAGAAAAGGATTTTTGACATAAGCAAAAACTTTTCACAAAAATTTGTGTGAAATCTTATTTGGGGATTTGCTCTCTGTGCAAGGAGTCCTACTCCAGCAGGTTTCCCAGTCAAAATATGCCTTTGGGAATGCAGAGAACTGAAGGCCCTGGCTGAGCAAACCCCAGCTGGAGAGACAGACTGGGGATTCTATCTGTGTATAGCATGAAGAATTTATTCTAAACACTTGGATATAGAGCCAATGCCACTTACAAGCTTTCCTTTAAGAATCCTAGGCCAGTTGTTAACAGTTTTTAATCTCCTTAATTTCTTTATCCATAGATACCTGACAGGAACAGTTTGGACTGTGGAAAGACAATAATGGTCCCTTTCTGAAACAGTCTCCTACTTGCTGAAGGCTACTGGAATAGAAGAGAAAATATAGTATTTTCTGAAAATGTAAACAGATGTTAGTTTACCATTTGTGAGCTGCAGGGTTCAGTTAAAGTGGATGTTGTATGTAAATACAGTGGTAGCTTGGGAGCTGCAGATGTCTCTAATAAGCATTCCCAAGTGCACTGTGTTCCATTAGTATGTGGGATTCCACTACCCTAATCCCACTACTGTGGCTTACTCTGGGCTCCTTCTGTTTCTATTCCTGCAGGACACATAAAGACACCTTAGGCGTTAGCTGTCTCTATGTTTCCATTCCACCAAATCGGAACTTCATGACTTTTTCACCTTCTCTCTCAGTCATAAGAAGACGGCTTTTTAAAGGATGCCAAGACAGGTGGATCATGGTAATAGTATACTCCATTATAGCAGTTGTTATTCATTGAACACCTACTGTTTGTCAGGATTGGGCAAGTGGCAGTATACATCATCTTATTTAGTCTGCACAGCAGGTTTAAAGGGAGATAATATTACTCCGACTGTACAGGTGAATAAATGGAAGTTAAAATAATCTCGGCTTGGTAGTGATGGAATCAAATGATGTAATTGCCTCATTGTGACCAGCTAAGGGCAATTCTGTTAGGATCTGTGTAACACATTTTAAGAGAAACATTGGCAAATGAAGAAAGGTTAGAGGAAAACATCTAAGGTCATTTAAGTATACCTATATACATTTCTCTCATATGATATGACAGGCTTGAAAAATTACACAGCTCATTACGAGCAAGAGAGCAGTATATATATATTAACATTCTAATCTTAATAGGAAAAACTAAAGGATGCTGTGGGAATAAATGGAAGGATCATCATACCTAGCCAAGAAAATGATAACTTAGGTCCTGGATAAATAAATTTTAAGTAGGGAAAGGTGGGCTGGAGTTAGGAGCATTCTAAACTCAATGAACAACATGCACATGCACTTGGAGACAGTGCAGGTCAATTTAGGAGCTCACAGGCCATTTAGAGTGACAGAAGCAGAGTGTGCAGGTCAGGCAGTAATAAGACATGAGGCTGGAGAAATGAGTAGGAAGCAGATCAAAGGCCTTGAAATGTCAAGAACTTTGTACCTTATGGGTACTGAAGAAGTGAAATGTTTAAAGAAGCCGAATTATATGATTTCTTTTGACTTCAAAATGGAAAATACATGTCGATATTGGGGGAGAAATTAGGAGGTTCTTGCCATAATACAGGTGGCAAATGATGGTAGTCTTCAGGTAATGGCAGTAGGAATGCATAGAAGAACACAGATATGAAAGATTCTTAGTCTGGCAGACACCTGGAAGCAAGGGTGCATAGGAATAGCTAACAGTTAAAAAAGTATTTGGAGAGCTATCATGTGAAACAGAGAGATGATTTATTTTTTCTGTTCATTTACTGAGGGCATAGTAAGGACTAATTGGAGAAAGTCATAGGGAAACATATTTTAATTTCAATAAAATCTGATGCTCCAAAAATTGAAAACATAACTTACCATTCATCTCTGAATGTATCCGTGCATTTTTTTTTTCATTCAAGTTACATTTTTAAATGATGTGCAAGTTCTATAGACTGGGTAACAGTGTACATAACACTTAACAACTAACTAAAATCAGTGAAACACATATCAATATAAACAAAGAGCTATGGAAATTAATCCTGTCCGGGGTTCAGAGGAGTTATTAATTAAGATGGTAAAACTAGCTGAAGGGATAATTAGAGGGAAGAGTTGTGTGGGGTCTGCAGGATCTACAAGTGGAATTGCCCACAGAACCTTTAGATCTTATGAATCTAGAGCTTAGAAAATAGTCAGGGCTGGTGAAGTATACTGGGGAATTTTCAGTGTAAGCAAAGACCATCAAAGCAAATGTCTCTGAAGAATAAGCAAGTAATACAAATAAGTGAGATGGACAAGGCATAAGGCAATAAGTACTGGGACTATGGAAAATTGGCAAGCAGGTGCCCCTTCCAAATGGCACCACTGCCAGTCAGCTCCAGTAAATTGTTGCTCTGTGCTCTCAGATCTCCACAGTTTCTAAATAAAAACAAAACATTGGATATTTATGTGATGCTTCTAGTTAATATGATATCTCACAGCATGTCCTTGATCTAACTATAGCCCAAAGGCTGTCAGATTGCCTTGTATGTTATAAGATGATTGTTGAAGCTGTGAGTAAGACTGAAATTTTCTCAAGCGAGTAGACCACTGGAATGTATACATGGGTAATCTTTCTCAAGTGGGTAACCAAATGTTATTTGGTATGTAAACTTTTCTATTTCCACATCTGAGGATTCATGCTGCTATAAGTGATGTCTGAGAAAGTCATGCAGCACATTAGCCAGCAAGGCATAAAAGGCAAAGAGAGAGATAAGAAAGATGATGTTAATCTAGAGCCTAATGAAAATGTGGGAGTTCATAAGGAGTGATCAAATACGTAAGGTGATAATTGTGGATATGTTTCGATATCAGAAAACATTGCTTTTCTGTGTGATAGTGCTTTCTTTATAATTAATGTGGATTTAGTGTGTGTTATTTTTAGCCTTTTAATCCCTATAAATGTGCCACTTCATATTCTACGACTGAAAATGGCACTATAAACAAAATGGTTTAGGAACCAGTGTAGAGAGCAGGAGCCAAAGATGGAATCCAGAGTCACAGCATGAGGGATGAGTAAGGAAGATGACTAAACTGGTAGATTTTAGAATGAGCTATAGCAGTATCACCAAAACCAAGAGTGGAGAGAACTTCAAGAGGAAAGACACATTTGGACCTTTTAGGTAACTGAAAAATGGCAAGTCCATTGGGTTTAAAAGGTAAAGGCTTCTGGTGACCTCTGAGAGGGCACTCTAAGGGGAGAGTTGGCAAGAATCCAGTTTGCACTGCACTGGGCAGTGAACGGGAGGTCAGTGAGTGGAGTGATTGCCAACTGCTCCTTGGGCAAGTTTGGCAGGAAAGGGAAGGAGAGATGTGGTGCCATTCCAAGGATGAGACGAGGTTAAAAAAAAGGCTTTACTCATTTTTTTTCTAGTGGAGTAGAATTTATAATATATTAAGACTAGGAGTGATAATTGATGAAGCAAGGTACGGAATGAGGCATAAAATGGAGAGATCAGAGTTAGAGCAATTGATAATTATTTTTCTTTCAGACAGGTTAAAAATATGAATCTTTGGATGTAACCGAGAGGAAAATTGAGGGAGCTTATGCCTGATGCCTCTACATTTTCTCTAAAGTAGGAGATGCGGGAAGGGGTCAGTAGAGAGTTGTGGGCTGGAAAAAAAAAGTTTGGAGGAGCTGCTGTAGGGAATTTAACAGGGGTGATTAAAAGGATTGCTGAGGTTCAAACTGAGGTTGGAAACCATTAAGCAGCAATGATCAGTACAGTTGTGAGCATTTCTCCAACAGTATCAGGAAGTCCAGGAACAGGAAGGGGAAAAAAGAGGGTCTGTGTTGCTCCAGGTTTTTAGAATAACAAACCAAATTCAGCAGAAGATCAAAGTGAAACAGACAAGCAGTATGTAAGTGGAGAAATAGACAATGGAACACAGGCTTGAGAAGGACATAAAAGGAGTCAGGAGAAGACTGATTTTCTGAGAGCAAAGAGAATCCCTGAGATATATATATATATTTTTAATATTAGAATGAGAGATTCTTGCACTGGGTAGGACTTTGACCTGAGTGAACTTTGAGGTTCCTCCTAATTCCAAGATTCTTTGATTCTAGACATGAGAAAACAAAGCTAGTCCCTATGCTGTTGTCATAACTGTCATGGTATGTGATATGGTTTAACTCTGTGTCCCCACCCAAATCTCATCTCAAATTGAAATTCCTACATGTCAAGGGAGGGACCTGTAGTCCGCAAGTGTTGAGGGAGGGAGGTGATCGGATCATGAGGGCGGTTCTCTCCATGCTGTTCTCATGATAGTGAGTTCTCAGGAGATCTGATGGTTTTATGAACGTGTGGCATTTCCCCTGCTTACACTTCTCTCTCCTGCTACCATGTGAGAAGGTCCAAGATTGCTTTCCATTCACCTTACGCCGTGATTGTAACTTTCCTGAGGCTTCCCCAGCCATGTGGATCTGTGAGTCAATTAAACCTTTTTCTTTTATAAATTACCCAGTTTCAGGTAGTATCTTCATAGCAGTGTGAAAATGAACTAATACAGTATGTAAAAATGGAAGTCCTGTATATACCTGTCTCTCTCAGGATTGGCCTCAAGGAACCTTACCAAGTAGATGACATTTCTCACTTGTTCCTCTCACTTGTTCCTCTCACTTCCTGTTGTAGTATCATCTTCTATTTATTCTCCTTATCACCAGCAGATCAAAACAATGAGGGCATTGATCTATCATAAGAAGGCTGCCTTCAGGCCCTATTCTTTTTTTTTTTTTTTTTTTTTTTTTGAGATGGAGTCTCACTCTGTCGCCCAGGCTGGAGTACAGTGGCACCATCTCGGCTCACTGCAAGCTCCGCCTCCCGGGTTCATGCCATTCTCCTGCCTCAGCCTCCCAAGTAGCTGAGACTACAGGCGCCCGCCACCACACCCAGCTAATTTTTTGTATTTTTAGTAGAGACGGGGTTTCACCGTGTTAGCCAGGATGGTCTCGATCTCCTGACCTCGTGATCCCCCAGCCTTGACCTCCCAAAGTGCTGGGATTACAGGCATGAGCCACCGCGCCTGGCCTCAGGCCCTATTCTAATAAAACTTCCAGGTAGATGCTTGTTCTCCTTCTCTGTGAGTCCAAACAAGGTCTCTAGTTATTGATTCTCATGTTATTGCAGCTTCTACAAATTTCACCCTCAAGTCAGCTTTTTGGCTTTTCTGACTCAAGTCACAAGATAACCATCCTTTTGTTTCATTTTTGTAAATTCTCATAACCCCAACTGGATGGTAGATGAATATGAGGAAGAGGGGAAATCAAAAGAATGAGAGCAATGAGCCTATTACTCTTGAGATGAACAGAGGGAGAGATTCAACACCAAATGCGTCCCTCTTCTGAATCCCATCTCTCGAATCAGACAGCACTTCTGTGTACTTCCCAATATCCATACAAATACCAGGAAACTTATTTTACTTGCCTCTGGCCTTGGTTTGCAGGTTTGGGGAAACACAGGAGTCAAACAGAATTTTTTTGGGTGAACCCACAGATTTCACTCTGAGGAACAGCTCCCTTGCTGTTGAGACAGCTGGGTGCACTAAGCAACACATTTGAAATATGCCTCAGACTTTGTGGAACCAGGTAGTCTGAAATCTTGCCAGGACTTTAGTGCCTCTTGGGATACTTCTGAGGTAGGGCAAAGTCCCATTCAATGTTCTGTTGGAGGAGAGAATCTTTAGTGAAATCTCAAGAATGAAAGCCAAGAAGCCTTAAGATAAGAGCGAGAGATTCAACAGCAAGTACTATCTGTAAGAACTTTGATTTCATTGCATTTAAGCTTCTTTTCCTAGTGGACTGTTTTTAGTTGAATACTTCTTGAGGATAAGTGTTGTGTCTTCTATACTTATATCTGCAGCTTAGCACAGTTCCTGCCCTATGGTACATGTTCCTTATATGTACATGGAAATTAGCCAAATGTCAGGATGCCACTTTTTCATCTCCATCTCTATTCCTATGATGGATGACTGGTAAATACTTCTCTGACTATGTATGTGTAGTTCAAATACTCTAGTTTTTTTTTAGCATAAAGTGCTGTGAAATCCCACCATCAAAAGAGCCAAAGTAATATGATGAAAAGAATTTGGTTTCAGAATTAAAAAGAAAGCACACATTTTTGAGTTCTCGCTCAAAAACAATTTTGTGAGGGTAAGTTATTTAACTTCTCCGTGTCTCAGCTTCCTATAAAACTAGAATTATGAGATCTCTCTTATAGGTTTGAAATAGGATGAAAATTCCTCCCTCTTTTTTTTTCTTATAACCTCTCTCAAAACCTTGCCTGTGTCTCTATGAGTGTGTTGTGTTACAGTTACTGCTATAATTTCTCTACTAGATTAGGGTGGAGAAGTTCCCATGGCTGTTCGCTCTCTCAGAGGACCCTGGGCAAAGTTGGTGCTCACTGTGCATCACTGATTATATCAAATACTGTGTGGCATGCTCAGGCCTTGTTGGTCTCTCTGTACCAGTGTCTATCGTGGGACATAATAATTCATGATGAACAGTCAGGCATCTACTTAGTGGCTTATACGTAGAAGTGGCTCTCCTTTCAGAAGCCAGAAATTAATAAATGGTCTACAGTCAGAAGGAGATCCTTAATTGATTAATTAATTCAATAAGAATTTATTAAGTACCTTCTATGTGCTAAACACTGGGGAGACAACAGTGCATAAAGAGATCCCATCTTTGTTCATATGAAACTATATTCTAGAGGAAGAGACACACACTAATTGAATACTCTCACAAGCAAAAGTACTTTTGTAATGGTAATTCATGCTACAAAGCTGTAGACCTTGGTGCTATCTGATACAGAGATCTGATGGAATCAGAAAGTTCAGGAAGAGATCGTCTGAGAGTTCCTGGCTAGAGATAGGAAGGAGGGGCAGAGTTAACCAGGAAGGGGAGGCAAAAGTATCACAGTCACAGAGAACAGTGTGCAAAGCACCCATGGCAAGGGGGAATGTGATAAGGGTGTGTAGTGAATGAAGCCATAGTGACTGGAATATAGGGGACAAGATTGAAAGTAAAACTTACAAGGACGACCATTGCTTGGGAGTTTGGGTTTTATTAGCACTGCAGTGGAATGCTGTGAAACAATGAACTGGCATTGTAGAAGCTGGCATAGCCTGCTTTTTTGAGGACATCCAACACCCATGACAAGGTCTACGGCATCAAGGATTACCTTGGTTTGTCTTTGCTAACCAAACTGGGTTATACACAAGTTACGAGTTGTCCTTGTCCCAACTCACACCCTCACCATTGGAGAAGAATGTGGAGTGCCCCTCCCCATCCCGGCCCATCCCTTATGTCGGTGGACTAACGCAGCATGCCTAATGCCAGAGTGGGCAGAAAGAATAATAGCTGTTGTTTCAGTTTACCTGTACTAATTTATCACACCTTACCCAGAGACTCCAGCTCCACTTTCTGAGTTTTCTCTGTCTGGAGGTGAAACACACAAGCACATAAATAAGTAGGAAGCTGTTAGGAAATCCTCTTTGTCACTACTGAAGCATGTTCATTTATTTAGTAAAACGTCCATAATTTTTAAATTGCTTTATTTAGCCACTGGCTATTTGGTATCTTCAAGGGGTCCCCATTAGGAGCTGTACTTCCCCATTACCTGCAAAAACAAGGCAGGCTTTTGATCCCTGGAATTAATTACATGCAAAGATTTTCATTGCTTGGAGCAGCAAGCAGCTGGTTCCTACGGGACCCAGGCTGAACTCTCTTGCCAATTTCCCTCTCATGCTTGTCCCTCCCTCCACACCTACACCCTTTCTTTCTTTCATTATGCTCAATGGGTTCAATCTAATGAGGGAAATTGTAATTAAACATTTACAAGGTTCCAGTTTTCTCTATGACTGCCCTTAAGACTGTGAACATTCACAGTTCACTCTTTTTCCAAATACAGCACAATGGCAAAGTTTCCAGGAATGTCCTTACTGACTCAGGCCCCCCAGAATGGTATTAATCCATTTGAAAACAACTTCACTTGAGTTATTAGAGCTGGGGCAAAAGCAGGGAGGGAGAGATCTACTCGTTAGGGATGAGGGAGCAAGAGCAATGATGACTAGCTTTTGTCAGGACACAAAGTGCGTCTCTGGTGCTTGTGCAGATCAGTTGACAATGGTTTATAGCTTTTCTACCTTCCTCCCTTTCCTATTAATTATTCATACTTCTCCTACCAAGAGAGGGGTCTTGTTTTCCTTTTAGGTGTAATTAGAGTAATCAAAGGGTTTGTAACACTCATGTGTTTTATTTCTCATTCTCTATTCAATTTTGTTTTTCATGCAAGAGAAAAATATAAAACACGAAACAAAAACCCCAAGTCTCTGGGTGTTGTGAATTCTTGCAGGGAAAATTGGTTTTACCATATTAGCAATTGGCAGCAATAATTCTGAGGTGAAAAACCTGAAATTACTCCCTTAAAGGCAGTAATTTGTATAGTATGTATTTTGAGAAAGGGGGGGAGGAGTAGGTGATAATTTAGGTGAATGTTAGCAGTTTATCTTTATATTTTGTGATAAACGAGGAAGCCAAGTGTTGGTGTGTTCAACTGTGGACATACATTTGCATATGGTTTTGTTTCTATTGAATAGATTTTGGTTTGAATGACAAATTAAACTCCCAGCTTCCAAACACTGAATTCTTTTGTTCAGACTTTACACATTCTTGAAAGGAAAGGTGCCCACATGCACTTATCCTTTAAGGGTGAGGTTAGGCAAGCAAGGAATTGACAGTTATTTTATGTTTTTTTGTTTTTTGTTTTTGTTTTTGAGATGGAGTCTCGCTCTTATTGCCCAGGCTGGAGTCCAATGGCATGATCTTGGCTCACTGCAACCTCTGCCTCCCGGGTTCAAGCTCTTCTTTTGTCTCAGCTTCCTGAGTAGCTGGGATTACAGGTGCATACCACCATGCCCGGCTAATTTTTGTATTTTTAGTAGAGATGAGGTTTCATCATGTTGGTCAGGCTGGTCTCGAACTCCTGACCTCAGGTGATGTACCTGCCTTGGCCTCCCAAAGTGCTGTATTTTACCTTTTATATTAACAAAACCTTCTTCTTGCAGTTCAGAACCCATAGGAAATATTATTGGAAAGGTATTTCACCACATCATCACAGGCATTTCTATGGTGACGAAGCGATGTGCCATGAACAAAGTTATGCCATTTTTTAATACAAGCCGAGGAAAGAGAAAAAAACCAGGAGCAAGCCACTGCTTCAGGGATTGGCAACCTCTTTATGTTTGCTCAAGATAGAGCGAAAAACTCCTAAGGTTTTACCATTAAAGAACCAAATAAAATTGTTTAACATGTTGGAATTGTGGGTCCTTTTTGTATATTGACTTGAGAAAAAATAAAAATATTGATACAGAAAAAAGAGAATGCATATGATCTTTTTATCTTAGCCAATATATTATGTTTTCTTGTTTTTGTATATCTACATATTCATAAAAACAAGTATGTGTGAAGAAGTTTACATCACAGTGCAAGTGTGATCCTTCATATAAAACTAAAGCAAGTGAGGATGAATTCCTAAATAATTAAACGGTAAATTACTTGTGTTTGTATCAGCTCTTGAGCCATCTTAAACTACTAATCAATTTCTCATAATCATCAGTGCTTTTCATCTGTGAGCGGATTATTTGGTCAAACATGGAGACAATGGCACAGCCGTGAGTAGAGCCCAGGTGTTTTTCTCCGATTTCTCCACAGAACTACAATGCCAGCAGAAAGGTAGAGTGGAGTAATAATAAAAACCAGGTTTAAGAGAACACTAAGTTTTTTTTTCAGTGTTGTTCACGGAACTGCAAGTGGTATAGAGGTTCAGGAAGTCATTACAGTCTTCATAGGGGTGCAATAGTTCTCACTTCTCCTTTCAAGAAGAGTTGTAATGGAAAGTTGAGGAAGAACAGTAGGGACACAGGGACAGGTGGTGTCTCCAATTGGTCATATTCTCCAAGTTATTTTTGGTCTATAGTTGGTTCCCTAAATCTCACTTCTTCTCTTCCTCTAGCTTTAGGGACTGGACTCAGCATTTTGGTTTCATTTCTTTTTTGAAAAGTAAAAAGAAAATTTACAAAACTATAAAACAAGTTATATATGTATATATAAAACTAGCATATTAACAAATATATATGGGTAATTATATAAAATTATTTATACATATATAATTACCCATATATATTTTTCATAATTACCCATATATATGTATATGTATATATATATATAATTACCCATATATATGTATGTGTGTATATATATATAATTACCCATATATATGTGTGTGTGTGTGTGTGTGTATATATAATTACCCAGAATTAAACACCTTTAGGTGTAATTAGAGTACATTAAAATTTGGCATACTTTCCTTTAGTTCTTTTCTAAATTATAAAAGTAACATATAGTATATTTTTCTTCTCTAAAAATATTGAAAAGTTAAAGTTTCCTTATCCACTTTCTCCTCAACCAGAGCTGCTTCTCCCAAAATCCCAAGGGAATCATTATTTTGAGTTTGCTGTAGATACTTCAAACGTTTAAAATATGTATTTACATGCATATATATATATACATCTAGAAAAATACTAGCATATGTTATTTTATGTAGTTTATTCAGTTACTTACATAGTACAGTGTACTATGTAAGTATAATTCACATCTTGCTTTTTTCTTTCAACACTGCATTTTTGATGTATAGGTCCCTGATACACTGGGTATTCTTCAGACGGATAACATTTGATTTAGATTCTGAAAGAGGGATAAGATTTTGCCAGGTCAAGAAAGGAACCGGTCAGGTAGAACATTAGTTTACGTATTAGCACTTACTTCATAAAGGCATGGAATAGACTGCGGAAAATCAAGGTTGCTGGACTTTAGGGTGGAACTGGTGAGAGAAGAGACAGGAGACTGAGTAAATGCAGAAAGGGTGGCCATGTAGCCTATGGCAGATATTTTGAATTTTCACTGAGAGGCAGGGATATTATAAGTGAAGGTGAAGTGTATCACTTTGCTAGAGCTGCTGTGACAAAGTGCCACAAACCAGGTGGCTTAAACAGAAAATGTGTTGTTCTGGAGACTAGAAGTATGAGATAAAGGTGCTGGCGGGGTTGGTTTATTCTGAGAACCATAAAGAAGAACCTGCCTTGTTCTCTCTCCTCTTCTTATGGTTTGCCAGTAATCTCTGCCATTCTTTATAGACAAGTCACCCCAATCTCGGCCTTGATGTTTTCGTGACATTCTCTCTGTGTGCATGCCTCTGTCCAAATTTACCTTCCTTTATTTTTACAATTTTTATTTTAAGTTCAGGGGTACAGGTGCAGTATGTTCAGATTTGTTACCTAGGTAAACGTGTGCCATGGTGGTTTACTGCACAAACCATCCCATCATCCAGATATTAAGCCTGGCATCCATTAGCTCTTCTTTCTGATGCTCTCCCTCTGCCTCCCCTTTTGCTGTGCAGAAGCTCTTTAGCTTAATTAGATCCCATTTGTCAATTTCTGCTTTGGTTGCAATTGCTTTTGGCGTTTTTGTCATGAAATTTTTGCCCACGCCTAATTCCTGAATGGTATTGCCTAGATTTTCTTCTAGAGTTTTTATAGTTTGGGATTTTACATTTTTTAACCCATCTTGAGTTAATTTTTGTATGTGGTGTAAAGAAGAGGCCCAGTTTCAGTTTTCTGCATATGGCTAGCTAGTTCTCCCAGCACAATTTATTAATTAGGGAATCCTTTCCCCATTGCTTGTTTTTGTCAGATTTGTCAAAGATCACATGGTTGTAGGTGTGCGGTCTTATGTCTGAGTTCTCTGTGCTTTTCCATTGATCTATTTGTCTGTTCTTATACCAGTACCATGCTGTTTTGGTTACTGTAGCCTTGTAGAATAGTTTAAAGTCAGGTAGTGTGATGTCTCCAGCTTTGTTCTTTTTGCTTAGGATTGACTTGGCTATTCAGGCTCTTTTTTGGTTCCATATAAATTTAAATTTTTTTTCTAATTCTGTGAAGAATGTCAATGGTAGTTTAATGGGAATAGCATTGAATCTATAAATTACTTTGGGCAGTATGGCCATTTTCATGATATTGATTCTCCCTAGTCGTTTATTTTTATCCTCTCTGATTTCTCAGAGCAGTGGTTTGTAATTCTCCTTAAAGAGTTCCTTCACTTCCCTTGTTAGTTGTATTCCTAGGTATTGTATTCTTTCTGTAGTAATTGTGAATGGGAGTTCATTCATGATTTGGCTCTCTGCTTGCCTTTTATTGGTGTATAGGAATGCTAGCAATTTTTGCACATTGATTTTATATTCTGAGACTTTACTGAAATTGCTTATCAGCTTACGAAGCCTTTGAGCTGAGCCGATGGGGTTTTCTGGGTGTAGGATCAATGTCATCTGCAAACAAAGATAATTTGACTCCCTCTCTTTTTATTCAAATACCTTTTATTTTTTCCTCTTGCCTGGTTGCCCTGACTAGAACTTCCAATACTATGTTGAATAAGAGTGGTGAGGAAAGGCATCGTTGTCTTGTGCCAGTTTTCAGGGGGAATGTTTCCAGCTTTTGCCCTGCAGTATGATATTGACTGTGGGTTTGTCATATATGACTCTTACTATTTTGAGATATGTTTCTTTAATAGCTAGTTTATTGAGAATTTTAAACATGAAGGGATGTTGAATTTTTTGAAGTACTTTTCTGCATCTATTGAGATAATCATGTGATTTTTGTCTTTAGTTCTGTTAATATGATGTATCACATTTATTGATTTGCATATGTTGAACCAAACTTGCATCCCAGTGATGAAGCCAACTTGATCGTGGTGGATAAGCTTTTTGATGTGCTGCCGAATTCAGTTTGTCAGTATTTTATTGAGGATTTTTGCATCAATATTTATCAAGTATATTGGCCTGAATTTTTCTTTTTTTGTTGTGTCTCTGCCAGGTTTTGGTATCTGGATGATGCTGGCCTCATAGAATGAGTTAGGGAGGAGTCCCTCCTCTTCAATTTTTTGAATAGTTTCAGTAGAAATGTGTACTAGCTCTTCTTTCTACCTCTGGTAGAATTCAGCTGTGAATCTATCTGGTCCTGGGCTTTTTTAGTTGGTAGGCTATTCTCTACTGCCTCAATTTCAGAACGTGGTCTATTCAGGGATTCAGTATTTTTCCTGGTTCAAATTTACCTTTCTTATAAGGAAGGCAATCATGTTGGATTTGAGTCCAGTCTAATGACCTCATTTTAACTTTGTTACCTTGGTAAAGACTCTACCTTCAAATAAGTTCACAATGTCTAACTGTGAGTTAGGAATTTAACACATGAACCCATTCAACACATGAACCTTTGGGGGCAGGACTTAATTTGACCCTTAACATGAAGTGATAAAAATATTTTTTAGACTTGATAATTGTAGCTCTTGTTTGATGGCTGAAGTATCAAGAGGATTATGAGAACAGACATGAGGCTATGAATATGTTGAAGGATTGGAATTTTGGATCACTCAAATGTGATCCAAAACCTCTGGACACCCTTACCCTTTCTAGATATATTTTTTCCCCTTAAAGAACTCAAAGGAGAACAGAGACCTGGAAAAATATCTGTGGATATCTGGAAGTAAGCACTGTACTAGAGGTTATCTTGTATTTGTCTCTAGTTTTTATGTTCGATTCTCAGAGGCAGGTATTTCATTGTACAAGGTGCAATAATTATGGAGTATACATTTTATTTAATCACATAGGAAGTGGTTTATTATAAAAGAGAAAGAATACTTTAACTTTAAACCTGTTGGACAAAAGGGTTAAGTATAACTTTCTCAATTACTTAGGCAAATATATTCTTGAAAATAAAAAGTTAGAAAAGAGGGAAAGACTGAGACCCTCAATGTTAAATAACATTTTATAATGATCACATGCTGAGTCAAAGGCAAAAGCAATTTCTAAGTCGCCTACTTAATTCTCTAGACCATGCCTGCTATCTTATATTTATATCTTAATAAATGTACATATGCTGCCTTGCTGTTTTGGGGACAATGGGAAGTATAAATTTGATCTTTCTTGAATTCTCCACATTTAAAGTCTCCACTTGTCACTTGAATTAACATAGTATTTTAGCATTTAATTTCCTGGGGATACCAGATGTTTTATTTTGTGAGTTTCTTTTATTTATGTTATAGTTGTGGTTTAAACAACTATATGTTCATTTAAAATGAAACTCAAAAAAGAGGAAAGAATGGCACAACTCAATAAATATGTAGTTTAATAATATTCAGTGAATACGTATGCACAGTGAATGGAAGTCTAAATAACGTACTCCAGTGAAGAATTATTAGATGTTGCCCGTCTCAGCTGGATTTTCAGTTATACTATTCAAGCTGGTGGGAGGTTTCAGGGGAAGAACAGGGGAGAAGACAAAGCAGAAACAGCCTTAGGCAGTATAAATTCTGAATACCTTTAATTTGATTAACTTGTTAATACTAGCAGGAGAGTTACTTTGTTGTATTCTAGGGATTATAACATGGCATCATTTGAAATGATATGGTTCCCACTGATAAGGGGAGGATGAATAGAAGCATACACTGAATTTCTCTCCAGGGCATTGAGTTCCTTTGGCGACAGCACTGTTGGCTAAATATGAAAGGCTGTGAGATGAAATGGCAGCAAGAGAACAGCAGAGGAAAATGTAAGGCAAGGATGGGAAACACATGAGAAGTTTATACCTGACCATCTCTTTTCTATCATTGGCTTCCTATCTCCTATTCTTCTTCTTTGTCAATCTCTGTAGCCTCCACCTTTGCTCAAATTGGCTCAGTGATATGATTTTAATACTAAGCCCACACCCAGTTGGTATGAAGACATTAAGTAATTAATTAATTCAATAACTATTTGCTGATCTGAACAAAGTGGACAAAAAACCCTGTCTCTGTGGAATTTTCTTCCAGGCATGAGGGGCTTGGGAATGGGTAACAAGTAAGTAAATTATGTAACTTGTTTGACAGTGCTAAGTGCTACAAAGAGAAACTAGGTAGATAAAAGAAATAGGGACTTGGGAGGTTGAAATTTTATAAAAAAAAAAAAAGGTCAGAGAAAATACCACTTTTCTGATGAGTTAAAAAGCTATGACCTGCTAATTTTTATGTATTTATTCTGTGTCCATTAAAACTTCCAGAAACTTTCTCTTGAAGTGACATTTGAGTCTCAAGATCTGGCCCTGGTGATTATATTGTGACACACTGTGATCATTACAAAAATTTTTATCATCATGTATAACTGTGATGCTATTTTGCTTGCAGCCCAGACAATGTGATGGATTTATTAAAACATTCTGATAATCATAAGACAGTGATTCTAGGACATGTATTATCAGGACCTCTTCTGTACCTGTGTTTGGAGTTGCCATAGATGAAAGTCATATGATAAGAGAAAAGCAATATGATAATTTGTAAGTGAGCTGCTTATAATAAGCAGGATATGACAGTCAACATTTTTCCTTTTTACCTTTCCTTCCATCTCTACCTGTTTTCTTTGTTATAGACTTTGAGTTTTGTATGTGTCAGGTTTCATTCATTTGGGAAACCAATGTCACATCAAATTAGGAAGGATGTTATGACCCTCTAATTGGCCTTTGCATTGTACACAAGCCTCCTATGTTTGTTCGGGATAGCACCACGCATCCTTTTAAATTGGTAGTTTGACTGTCAGTTTCCGTAATGCCCTTGACAGTAAAACAAACACAACTCTATGTGATTCTATTATGAAACATTAATCTTCTGACTGTATGGTAAAAGGAAGGGGTGAGAGTTTCTCTCCATTCCCCCAAAGGAAGGAAGAGTAAGAAAGAAATTAAAAATGTAAAAGCACTCCCAATAACAGGTCATCAAGTCACAGCTTTTCATTGTGGCCACTCTTTGTCAGCTGTGTGTGTGACAAGAAACAAATCACAGCTCCATGATATTTGATAGCCTTGAGTAATTAAAGAGTCTTCAATGCTTTTTGGAAAATGTTGTCCAATATTCCAGCCACATGCAGTGCTCCCTTAATAACTCAATAACTCCACATTTCTCTCCCTGTGTGTGTTTGACTATTGCTATCCCTTTTAGAGATATTTGCATGTAATCAAGATAGAGTTCAAAGATTTACCATTTTCCTTACTATTATTCTATATTTGAATATCCCTCCCACTTCCATTTTTTTCTTCCGATAGGGGAAATAAGTTAACCAAAATTCAAACAAAAATCAGTTTTAAATAAATATTCCTAATAAGAATTATTATAACTACTACCACACATACATTTATGGTAGGAAAATTTAGAATCTGTCCTGGAAAAAAATACGTCCAGATTATTTACAAAGATTTGCTTTCAGAATCCCTCTTGAGATAAATAGACATGTTGGGGGTGATTCTGGGATGGAGCAAACATGTAGTTTGGGTCGCAGTTTAACGATGTAGCCGTAGTGTATTAAGGCTATGCATAGCAATTTCTCTTGCCCTGGAGTAGTTAGTGTCAAACTCTTTTTACCCATTAAACATTTGAAGTAGATTTATTAGCTCTAAGGATTCTTGGTTCTTCCTGAAAAGGAATTAAGAATCTTTGGACAGTGGACTTCTTGAAAATCCTATCAAATACCCCTAAGTATGTTTCTGGTAGCCTCTCGGTTGTGCTATTCAGTGATGAATAACACAGAGCTTGATTGTTCTAATTTAGCGGAAGAAACACATTTTTTTTAATGTGGTTTTTGCCATTTTCTATTATACTTTAAGTTCTGTGATACATGTGCAGAACATGCAGGTTTGTTACATAGGTATACATGTGCCATGGTGGTTTGCTGCACTCATGAACCTGTCATCTACATTAGGTATTTCTCCTAATGCTATCCCTCTGCTAGCCCCCCACTACCCAACAGGCCCCAGCGTGTGAGGTTCCCCTCCCTGTGTCCATGTGTTCTCATTGAGAAACACATTTTTTAAATACATAAATAAATATCACCCTTTTGTCATGTATCTTCATAAGCAATTGACCCAACCAATGGATTTGCAGTCAGTGAAAACAACTTTGGATAGATGGGTGGATGGATGAATGAATGGATCTCATTTATTTGTGGGAGCTAAAAATTTAAACAATTGAACTCATGGAGAGAGAGAGAGTAGAAGGATGGTTACCAGAGGCTGGGAAGGTTAAGGAACTTGGAGGGAAAAGTGGGGACGGTTCATTGGTACCAAAAAATAGTTAGAAAGAATAAATAAGATTTAGGATTTGATAGCCTATCAGGGTGACTATAATCAATAATATCTTCATTGCACATGTCAAAATAACTAAAAAAGCATAATTGGATTGCTTGTAATAGGATAAATGCTTGAGGTGATGGCTACCCCATTTACCCTGATGTGATTATTACACATTTATGCCCATATCAAAATATAACTTATGCCCCATAAATATGTACACCTACTATGTACCTACAAAAATTTTAAAGAATGTGAATGGTTGAATAGATAGGCAGATAGATAATAAAGTAATTACTATTTATTTTTGATTTCAGAAGATTTTAACAGGGCCCTTGATTATCATTCATCTGAGATCTACCCTTGTCTGTATGGCTTATTTGGGTTGTAGGTAAGAGTCATTCTTGAATGAGTGGGGGTTTCTGATTATTTTTAAACAGCCATTCAAGACCAATGCAGATACCTAGGAGGAAAATGTTTCTGATTTTTATGAATGTGTATGAAACCGGTAAATATTCATAACATAGCTACCAATATATGCTTCTGCAAGCCAATCTAAACAAATTGCCAGTATCAAAGATTCTGTTGATGAGGAATAGACAGCCTGTGTTTGCAGTCTTGTTAAGGTGGTTAACAGTGGTGTCCTGATTTTTTCCAAAACCTTCCAGATTTGGGCTGCTGAGTAGATGATGCTGACTTCCGATACTGCTTGTTGTTGTTGTTTAAACCATTGAGCAGGTTACGAACCTCTGAACTTAAACGAAAGAAATCAGTGGTTTCAGCTGGAATAAAAAAGTAATACTATGGTATAGCATAACGGAGATAATACAATTTTTGTGGTTTTAAAACAGAGAAAAAAGTCCCTCTTTTAATGCAAAATCACCTGTAACCTTGAATGTATCAACCAGTGTGACTTAGCTGATAATTTAGGCCTATTTCATAGAGCTGTTATGAGAACTAAGTAAAATCATGCACATACAAATGATTAGTTACTTTTAAAAACTGTAAAATGCTTGCTGTTATTGTTGCTGGATTGAAGAGTTCATTGTGATGGTGCCATTCAATGACTATATGACTAAGATGATCATCCTTTGTACTCTGTCTCCCCATCTCTCCTCCCTCCCTTGTTTTTCCATGTGGTATGTGTTTTCTCTCTCTCTCTCTCTTTTTTTTTTTTTTGAGACGGATAGTTTCATTCCTGTCGCCCAGGCTGGAGTGCAGTGGTGCAATCTCGGCTCACTGCAACCTCCCCCTCCCAGGGTTCAAGTGATTTTCCTGCCTCAGCTTCCTGAGTAGCTGGAATTACAGGTGCCCACCACCACGCCTGGCTAATTTTTGTATTTTTAGTACAGACAGTGTTTCACCATCTTGACCAGGCTGGTCTTGAACTTCTGACCTCAGGTGATCCACTCGCCTCCGCCTCCCAAAGTGCTTGGATTACAGGCATGAGCCACCGCGCCCGGCCCGTCTCTAAGTTATTTTCTAAGCTAAAAGTCATGCTACTGCAACCAACGGATATCCCCCCTTTTTTGGAGATACTTGGTAATGTAGAAACTATTTCAGAGAGTCAAAATTCTACAGATAGAGTTTAGAATGCACAAAATCTAGACATGGCATTGAGGCATCTAGATATTGCCTTTACCTATTTCCTGTAGGAACTTGCTCCAGATTAGTATCTTAAAGACAAATTGGCATTTATTTTTCTTACACACATTGCATTGTGCCATGTAAGAAAATTACAGATTAAATCAGCATTTTCCTCCTGCTTGATGTGAATAAAATCAATGCTGAAATGGGAGTCCTAGTTAATCTATGTGATAGAAGTTACTAGGACCAGTGTTTGGTGGCTTAGGTCCTTAAAGAAATTGGAAAGCTCTTTGCAATACAGTGTGTTAACAACAGCCTTTTCTTTTTATTCCCTTCCCTTTGCAACTGTTCCCAGCCCTTCTTTAAAAATCTAAGTCAGAAATATATTGAAGGGCTTTATTTCTATCCATTTTTTTCTATCTGCACATGGCTGTTGATATTCCTTCACTGTCTTGGAGCTATCAACTATCAGTCTTTTGTAAAGTAGCATACATAGTAAAGTATCAAGAAAACATTTTCTCAAGCCAGACTGCCTGTGCTCAAATTGCAGCTCTGCTACTTACTGGCTGAGTGACCTTGGACACGTTATTTAACCTCTCTGTGCCTAGTAACCACTACATAGGAGGGTATTTTATAAGGATTAAATCTCTGTAACACACGTAGAAAAGTACCTGCCATATGGTAGGCACAATATACATTTTTGTTAAATAAAATGAAGCTTAGTAGTTTACCTGCATTGTTCACATTATCTAACACATTACCTTCCACATCGTAGGTACACAATGAATATTATTAGTCATGACTTATACATGACTAAATGTATTCTTAAATTGGAGTGGTACAAAAAACATATGGGTCCATTCCACATTTCTACAAACTAGCTCTGCAGTCTTGCACATCAAATTTTAGTGTCTTTGGAGCTTCCTTCTCATCTTTAAAATAAAAATATTTGCCCAATGTATTTCAAAGGGTAATTTTAATGATCAAAATGATAATGTACTTCCAATGAGTTGAAAAAATTATTTCTCTATATGAAAGGTATTATAACATTTTTATTTCTCAAATTACTAAATCAGTTCTAGGGGAAATATGCTAGTAAAATAGTTAAGGCTTGACAGATATAACTGGTCCAGAGGTCGGTAGTCATCATGAGTACTAAGACCTAGATACTAGGGGTCTGTGTTTGTTCTTGAGAATACAGCAAAGTGTTTCAAGGAAGGAGGCTTCTCCTTTACTTACCAGGCCTGTTCAGCTGTATTTGGCTACTTCTTGTTATGGAAGGAAACCTGAGCAGACCTTGGGAATCCAGTGTTCCTTTATCACATTCCTCAGATCTGTTAGGCTGGACGCCAAGGACAGTAGTTTGAAGGTGTTTGTCTTGATGCTGATGGATGTTGCAGTCTGTAATCCACGAACTGAAACAGGGCTTCTCTTCATTGCAGCTGGCATATCTTGTTGTGTTTATGAGTCTGACAGGCAAACATATCTGAAGCATATCTCATATGCTGATCTGTGAGGGAGATAAGCCCCTTGTTTTGCTTGACTGGAAACAAAATAAGCAGGTGGCAGAAAACCCTGCATTGATTTCTGCTTGGGCTAAAACACCCAGAATAAGATCAAGTCCCCCTTGGGCACACTCCAGCCTCTGCTATTTGATCATTGATCATTTGACTTAAGTTTGCAAATTGTTGTAGGGAAGTGTAAGTTTCTTTCTGCTTTAACAAAGCTACTTTTACTTATTTTAATTTTATAAGCTATTAGCACTATTTTGTGATAGAAAAAACTAAAAATCAAATGGTGTCAGAGCTTAAAAATCTCTTACTTCATTTGCCGTGTAATCTTTATGCATTTGATTTTTGCTTCAGGATCCTTACCTATAAAGCATACCCATTTCATTTGACCACTAGATTTTTACAGAATAAAAATAGTTCCTTTCTGAAGAGGAACTATGAAAGTGTATACATGGGTTAGGAGATGGAGCTGAGGACTCCAAAGTAATCAGTCCCTGATAAGAACTTGAGTTTTGATGCACACATTATTGCATTTTAGAGATTTTGGTCTCCCAGTTAGATTGTAAACTTATTGAAGGCAGTAGGACATTGACAATGCATAAATATTAGTTAGGAAAATGAAAAATAAAGTGTTGCTTACCAATTCAGAGATTCAGAAGAATGTGGATAGGATTTTTTCCCTCTCACCTGAAATTTCGACTTTATAAACTCTTTTTATTACTGTCCTTCCTTTTCTGATCCCTTGATGATTATTAATTGGTTCCAGTGGTGTATATTTCAGATATTTAATTAAGTCTTCCTTTCTGTCCAACTCTCTGCCAAAACATATTTTTCATTTTTATACCTGCAATGCTCAAACATAAGTTGATGCCAAATGCATGCTGTTTGATTACATTCCATCCAGATTTACTTCCAAGCAGGACGAGGCCTGTAGCATTTATTTCAAGTAGCTTTACAAAGAGCCATTCTTGGCCCTCAATGTGTGTGGCAGGCGGGGAGGCAGGAGAGGAAAATGAGGTAGATGTCCTTCCCATACCTTAACTAGTTTTTGAGAGAAATGGAAAATGGCAGATCAGATGCCATTGGCCGTTTGCCCAATTAAGCCATAGCAGTGTTAGCTAAGATGTGATCAATATGGAAGACTTGGTCTGCAGAGCCTTTTTTAGCTGTGCTCCTGTACTAGTCAAGCACCTCCTGCAACTTTGTGGTAAATTCAAGCACCTCGTGCAACTTTGTGGTAAAAACCATCCTCATGAGTTAGAGCCTTGTCTTATAAGAAGGAAGAGGACAGCTTCTGGGTGAGACACGTGCTGGCCATCATGCTGTTGCCTAATCTGTCACCTCAACTATTGATTCCCAGCTCTTGATTCTCATTGTTCATTCATGGAGTTGTTTCTAAATAATGGTGACTAGAGAGGAGGAAATGGTGTTATATTAGTTCTCTATTGCTGCATAACAAATAACTCCAAAACGTAGCAGCTCAAAAATCAACAAGGCATTACCTCCTAATTTTTGCAGGTCAGGAATCCAGATGTGGCTTAGCTGGGTGCCTCTGGCTTAGAGTCCCTCCATAAGGCTGCAACCGAGGTGACAGCCAGGGCTTCAGTCACCTCAACTTGGGAGAGATCTGCTTCCAAGCCCTTACCTATGGCTGGTGGCAGGCCTTAGTCATTGTGGACTGTTGGCCACAGATAATACTTCATTGGCACAAGAGCCTTTCTACAGGACAGCTTACAACTTAATAGCTGTCTTTGATTGAGGGTTGGGGAGAAGGTGGAAGCCATTGTTGTTTTCAATCTAATCTTGAAAGTGACATCCTGTCACCTCTACTGTATTCTATTCATCACTTAGAAGTGAGTCAATAAGTATAGGACATTTAAGGGGAGGGAATAATCAAGGGTATGAATACCAGGAGGCTGAGACAGTTGGGAGCCACCTTATAGACTGCCTTACACAGGTGTAAAAAGCATGAAATAGACATTAGACAAATGCAGGGTCTGCTGAGATGGCGTGTAAAAAGTTCTATCACAGGGCTTGCCACAGAGTAGAGAAGCATTGCATTTATTTCTTGCCACCCCCAGCACATTGCCTGGTGCATTGTGGGCACTCAAGTACCTACATGCCCATGAAACTGTGTCTAGTTTACTAAAAACAAAGAGTCTCTCTGTTCCAAAAGAGATTAATGTTTGGTGTTATCCTTTCTGGACAATTTTCTTCCTATGCTTCATTTCTCCAGTTATCGTCAAGGGAATGGATTTAAGTCTGAAATAAAATCACTCAAAAATAAGGAATAGCTGAAGCAGACCTAGAATTACCTTGGTGGAATTACCTTCTTAAGAACAATTAGAAGTTTATTCTTTAGGTCAGGAATGCTGTTGCCAATCTTCCACAGCAGGTGATAAGAATTAAATTCCCTCATGACCGAGGAAACGTTCTTTCTGCTAATCTGGTTCCACCTGGAGGTTCAACAAATAGAAGATAGAGCACACGGTGTGTTTAGTCTTAACCACATAGCCCGAGGCACTGGGGAAGTGTCCACACGATGTTTGCCTTCTGTGAACCTGGAAAGCAATTTTTTTCTAGTTTTCCTTTTTTTCCTCTTCTTTTCCTATTCATCTGAATTCTTCTGTAGTTAAATTATTAATTTCTCTCCCTACAGAATATAATAAATTACTATCCTTGTTAATTCTTTTATCAAAGATATGTACTAGGCTTCTGCTTCCACATGGGCCATTTGAAAAACAGTGCTTCATATGATCCCTGAACTTTTTGGCAATTATAAAGAGAGATCACAAATGAGTAAGGTTGAAAATTAAACTATAACTGGAATGAAATGTCCTATAGGACTAAACCTATCAGTTGTATTGCAGATCAGCCCCTTATAATTGGTGATGTGGTATGAGACATTTTATATAACTATAATATATAGGCCATAAATTATTATTATATCAGTCTGTGGTATAATATTGCACCTTAGGGTAGAATTTGCTCCATTTACATTATATTCAGGCAGAAAAAATGAAAACATCTGTCAGGGAGAGTATAGCCCTATTGATCAGGTATATATAAGTAAGGTTTACTTATATAAGGCTGAGAAAAGGGGCTTTCCATTTGATTTCAGTTGTTTTATAGACAAGTTTCTAGTTTGAGGGAGCTATTTAGAAATGTATGTAGCCTTATGTAGAAATTCCAATAAAGCTTTCAAAAAATAAAGCTGGTATTTATATTGGTTGAAATGGCAAGATAATGAGTCTAAAAGATTTTCCCTTCTGATGTTATTTTTTTTGTTGTTCAGAATGACACTTGAAAGATGCCTAGGATTTCTACTGCTGCTCTTAGAATCACAGGATCTCAGGGTAAAATCAAACTTTAGAGGTCATTAATTTCAACCAGCCATAAAGGTCTTTTTGTCAAACTTATGACCATTCAAGATACTTTGGTGTCAAAGTAGCTCACAAGATAAAATAAATCACTCGCATGTTAACCCATAGGAGGTTAAACTTTTGACAGCAGATCTGTGGTGGTAGATACCATGTTTTCTACTGTCCTATTGGAAATGAGTGTTAGAGGCCCATTTCCACTACAAATACTGCCTAGTGGCTGACTTACATGGTAAAAATCCATCCAACCTTGCTCTGCATACATTCCAGAACTCTAATGCAAAATGATGCCTAAACCATTTTAACTCTATCCATGCATGAGGACACTAAGTAAGATGAAGCTTGTTTTGATATATACACTTTTTAAAAAGGTAGAAGAATAAGAGGTGGTAAAATAAGTTATTCAATTTATTGACTATAGTAACAACTTGGCTCTGATTGTTAATGTTTGTCCCTGCCATGTGATATATAGTTGTGTGAGATTAAAAACCCCCTTGGGTATAATTTTATTTACACCAACACATATATTTTGAAGAGATGAATGACCAATTCTGGGAATAGTTAGAAGTAAAGAATTTGAATTTTCTGCAGCACTGCTGCACGTTAGGTAAATTCCTCTCTTTGGGCCTCACTTGCAACACCAATAAAGAGAGGAAGTTATACTAGATGTTCTATAAGCCCCTTCCAGCCCTAACATGCTATTAGCCCATGATTCTTGTGTAGGGATACCAGAAGAAGATGAAAGAGAGAACCTAACTCATTTTCTGTCACCAGTCCTTATAATTCATGGCATTGTGTATTTCTCCTTGAGTCAACATTGCTTCTTTTAGTGACACAAGCAAGCCTGCTTTCTCCAGCTCCTCAGGAGGCAACTCTGCTACTGCAGAACAAAGATCATTCTCTTCCTGGCACTCTTCTGATTCCTGGTACCTGTATTCAGTTTCACATTCCCTTTCTTGTTGAGGATGCCATTGCCTATAGAAAGATACTTTAGGTGAATTACCAGGCAAACGTTACTAAAGCAAAGATAACTGATAAGGGGGACTAGAATCTTGGAATTTGTGCAAATAAATTCCTTTGTGAAACTGCAGACTGATTAGAAAACTGTCATAGTAAAATACTTTAAGCATGTCCTTTTCTCATTTTAAAATAACAACTGGAAGGAAAATATAAATATATCACTGAAATAATGGTTTCTCCATGAAGAAAAAGACATTTAGACAAACCAAAAGTGTATATTCTATGGTGTAGTAAATCATTACCTTACTATATTAGGTTAATACTTGATAAAACCTTGTAGTGAGATAAATGGTGATATGGAGAACTTAAATCTTCAAATGTATGTTTTAAGCCCCATTATAGCTATTTTTTTTCAAACTTACCTACTATAAAGTTTTGTCCAGAGATATTCCAAAAAAGAATAATAGATTGGTATTAATGTTTCTGCCTCTTTTACTCTTTGGAAGACGTGCCAATAGGCAGGTAAAGAGATCAAAAAGAAAAAGTCGGGCAGGGTGCAGTTTCTCACACTTGTAATCCCAGCATTTTGGGAGGCCGAGGCGGGTGGATCACAAGGTCAGGAGTTCGAGACCAGTCTGACTAACATGGAGAAACCCTGTCTCTACTAAAAATACAAAAATTAGCCGGGCGTGGTGGTGCACACCTGTAATCCCAGCTACTCAGGAGGCTGAGGCAGGAGAAATGCTTGAACCTGGGAGGCAGAGGTTGTGGTGAGCTGAGATCATGCCATTGCACTCCAGCCTGGGAGACAGAGTGAGACTCCATCTCAAAAGAAAAAGTCAAACTAGATCACCATTTACTTAACAAGGAGCTGTTAGTGTATTAAGAGTATTATGCCATTCAGTCTGATTAAACCACCTGAAGGAACAGTGGAACCTCTTCCTAATCATTCCCATGTGAGACTTCCTGGGAGACAGCTGGGGGCAGCCAGAAGCAAGTAGCTAGAGAGGACTGTGGATTTCTTTGTGAGGAAATCTGAAACTGGCCACTTTAAGGCCCCTGGGTTCTACTGAGGTTAAGCGTCTAAAGTGTCCTTGACTCACTCAATTTCAAAGCAAATTCAATTTGATCTCTTGCCTAATAATAAACACTGGGCAGAAGCAGACATGGAAGGATTTGGAAAATGGTGTTAAAAGATCAAAGAGATCTAAATAAACTATTTTGTTTGAACTAGAGTTACCAAGTAGAATAGATTGTTTTACCATAGATGGAGACTCTTTGAGAAGGAGTTAAAATTTGTGGGAGATCCCCAAAATAATGGCAGTTCCCACACACACTTTTCCCCCAGAGTGTATATAGGGGATATATACCACTTTCTCACCTCCTTTTCCACTTCTTATCATTGTTAGATCTCTAGAAAGTTCATGTAGCTTCTTTCTCCTTTGTCGTTATATGTTTCAGATACCTCACCAGCTTCCTTTGCTTTCATTTACCATATCATAGTGGTAATTTCCTCAATTCCTATATCCTACAAGAGCTTGATGAATGAAAAGAAGGAAGCCTGTGACAATTATTTTATTCAAGCCTCCAAAACAGAGTTTTGCCAAATGCTTGTCCTACTTCTCCGTGCGCTTGCCATGGTCTTTGTTTTGCCTCTTTTTCTTTTGGCAGTTACCCCAACTATAACTGGAATTTCCTGATTGATGAAGATTTAGTGGTCCAAACACAGTCAGTTGTCTTTTGGCCAGAAGGAAATATACATTATATAATCCGGTGGTTTATCTTCTTATCCCTCCCCCATTAACTTTTTTTTGTTTTGTTTTGGTTTTTGAATCTCTGCTTCCCTTCTCCATCCCCTAAGCAAAAGCATAACCAGCACGTTTTTTAGCATTTAGTAGATACAAGCCTAGCATTGTGCTAAGTATTTTGCGTCTATTATCTCACTAACTTTTCAGAACCATCAATGAAGTTAGTTCCTTTATCATCCTTATTTTGTAGATAATACAATTGAGATCCAGTGAAACTATAGTTAGCAAGTGTAGGTGCACATACTAAAACCAAATGAATGACTTGAAATCCCAAGTGGTTAACATTTATTCCAGAATACTTTCCTAATCTGTGCCTGGCACTGCACTAGTTAATGAAAACAGAGTGAGAAAAGATATGATGTGTCCAGCCAGGTGCGGTGGCTCACGCCTGTAATCCCAACTCTTTGGGAGGCCGAGGCGGGCAGATCATGAGGTCAGGAGACCGAGACCATCCTGACCAACATGGAGAAACCGTATCTCTACTAAAATACAAAAAAGCAGCCAGGTGTGGTGGCATGCACCTGTAGTATCAGCTACTCAGGAGGCTGAGGCAGAGGAATCACTTAAACCCTGCCCAGAGGCAGAGGTTGCAGTGAGCCAAGATCGCCACTGCACTCCAGCCTGGGCGACAGAGTGAGACTTTATCTCAAAAAAAAAAAAAAAAAAATGATATGATGTGTCCAAGCTCTTTGTCTAATGAAGGAGACAGATGTCAAAAAGATAAATTACTATACGGTACAAAAATGCTCTTATAGAGGTATGAGCAATGTTCTATGGCAGACAAAAAATTAGAAAGAAGACACCCATTTTCCTCATAGTAAACCAAAAATGATCTAAAATATTCCATGTTTGTTAAAAAGCAAGATCTTTATGGTTACTGTTAGGCACTGCGGTATGCCTCCCTGGATTGTCAATACCAATGCCATATAGATAGAACAAATAGTTTGAAAAGACATGAGGACAAAACAGTCTCCCTGTCTCCCAAATAATAGATCCAAAGAATTCTCTGGATTTGAATTTAATGTTCAAGAGAGGGGAAGGCATAAATATATAAACATATATGTTTCATACATATGTGTATACATATATATGTTTCATACATATATATATACATATATACACATACTTATATATACATACATAAATATATTTATATATCCACTTAAAACATATACAAAACTACCTATACATATATACATCTATATATCACATGTTTCAAGAAGCTGTTTTCTACTAACATCTTCATGTACGTAAAATTTAGGTGTTTTATAAATTTATTTGACAGAGCACCCCTAAACCTTTTATATACACACCTCATCAGATGGAAGTAATATATAAAGGAAAGGCACTGGCTTCATTCTTCTATTTTTAAAAGGAGTGAAAACATTTTTGCATTTGCCAAACTCCTGTGTATGCAAACTAATTGTGTGTGTGTGTGTGTGTGTGTGTGTGTAGACACAGCACCATTTTTGGTGAGGATGGCACAGGGGCTCTCAAAAGAAGGAGTTCTCAGAATCATAGCACCAAAACGTTGTGAGTTTGCAATAATCAGAGTCATGGTGAGCATCATGGAAATTTAGAACTAAAAGAGATGTTACAGATTATCTCCAGTCTGAGTCCCTGCCACACATGAGAAACTAAGGCCAAGAGATGTTAAATGGCTTGAACACAGAATGATCAGTGGAACAATACCTAGAGCTTCTGTCTTCCAAATGAGTTCTTTTTCCACCTTATCATGCACGTTACATCAGGCATGAATACTGGAAATCTTTCTAATGTAGGGACATCCAAGCAAAACAAGTTGCATACATGTCATAAAAAACTTTAAAAAATTCAGATTTACTTCTGGCAAATTCATTCAGGAATTCAAACTCAGATAATTAAATTAATTTCTTAATATTCAAATAAAGACCAGATACACATTGACATCATCTCTCTTGTATATTCAGAGTACCAGATAAATGGGATTTTTCACTAGGGGGACAGGATTGCTACACTACACCATTGCCATTTGCATTCACAACACGGGATGGCGGAAGAGACATTGATACAACATTTTTTCTGCCTCCTTCATTTTTAAATGGATGGTGACATGCTTCACAGCAGCATCTCCAAACAAAAGATGACAAATTCCCATTTATTTTCCATCAGTGGTACTGTGTGAGATGTTGTACTAAGTCTAAGCTTGTTGTTCCTGAGGCACAGAAGTCTTTTTCCTGCAGCATATAGCATTACTGTAAAAATAACCATTCCATTGCCAGTCACTCTGTCAGGAGTATTGGCAGAGTGAAGAAGACTTATTTGATTTCACTAAAGCTATTAGTTTGAAATTCTGATCTGTAAATCTGGATGGGAACCACACGAGGGAAAGGATCCCTGCCAGAAGCAATGGGTCTTGTACATTCTCAAAAACAAAGGTCAGATGAAAACACTGGATTGAAAATAGAGCCCTAGAAATGAAGCAAGAAGGAAGGAAACTTATATTGAGCGTTTGTAATGTTCCAAGCATTCTGTTAGGCTGTTTACATTATGTACTTGAAACCGTCAACTGGATTCATCTTTTCCTTCCTTTTTCCACCATTGCTGGCATGTGTGCAAGTGGGGGACCCAGGGAATAGAGACTACAATGTAAAAAATGGTTTCGCTGTTATCGTTGTCATGTTTTCCTATGTAAAAAATAGGATAATGTGACTTTTGCTGTTGATAGATGTTTCTTCAAGATCCCAGTAGAGTATTTTGTGACTGGAAAATTTCTAGAATCTTGAAGGCAAAAATAAGTGAAACTGTAGAGAAGTGTAGGAAAAGTCATCAGGGGTTTTACATAAAACAGTTTTTATTAAATCTCCTTTGGAAGGGAGAATTACAACTATCTGAGCTAAGTTTTGTTGTGATATGAACGATAGTGACTGCTAAAAGGATAGCATGGGAAAGTTTTTTGTTTATTTGTTTGTTTTTGAGACAGGATCTTGCTCTGTCATCCAGGCTGGAGTGCAGTGGCAGGATCACAGCCTACTGCAGCCTCGACCCCCACCCCTAAGCTCAAGCGATCCTCCCACCTCAGCCTCCTGAGTAGCTGAGACTACAGGCCTGTACCACCATGCCTGGTTAATTTATTTATTTTTTTTTTTGTAGAGATGGGGGCCTCTATATTGCCCAGGCTGGTCTCAAACTCCTGGCCTTAAGTGTTCCTCATGCCTCAGCCTCCTAAAATGTTGGGATTATAGATGTGAGTCACTGCACTTGGCCAGCAAGGGAAAGTTTTGAGGAGTGATGGAAATGTTCTATATCCTAATTGTGGTGATGGTTACATAAATCTATACATGTGTTAAAATTCATAGAACTATACACCAGAAGGAAAAGGAACCCTTCAATTTCACTGCATGATAATTTACAAAAATAAAATTTCAAAAATTCCAGTAGTCAACTCTAAGCCAATAATATGTTGGACTATGTCTAACAAAAGGGATATTATTTAAAAATATTGCCAACTGACTATCATTAAAGCCTAATAAATAATAAAAAAGTACTGTCACTCCCCACATGAGACAAAATTGTCATCTTTACATTTATTTCTTAAAATTATTCTTTCCTGGCATCTGTAATCATCTATGGCTTCTTCATTTCCTATGCCCCTCTGCTGTTTGGAAAATCAGAAAATAGAAGGCATTTTGGCATTCAGGGTGATAGGTAAATGCCCCTATTGTACCTTCTAATAGGTCAAATATGGTGACTTTGGTTGGTTCTTATTTTTGTTATTTCTCCAGTCATCAATCGTATTGATTTTTTTAAAAACAAAGGTCAAGCACATGTTCGTAGGTGACACCAGTTGCTTCAGTGAGTTGGTCCCTTCTGCTTACTGTTCTGGTTTAAACCCCTTGTGGCATTTTCTACTGCATGGATAGTGGTAAATGGGGTTGATAGTGACATAGAAATGAACTTAGAAGTAAGTTTATAGACTGTTGGGGACCATCTGTTAATGTAAATGTTTAAGGTAAAATGCATTAAGGCTTAAGAGCTGACGAGACGTTTTATTTGCCTCCTGCTTTTGGGATTATGCCTGGCACCTGCTTGAGTCTAGAGGGTTCCTGGTTAAACTTGGGAAACCTGGTTTCCTCTTTTATCTGCAGCTGTTCGTTTTCTGGGATGGAATCCTAAGCACTTATTTGAATTGTATTTGTTGAAGTCACTGGGTTATACAGTAAAAATAAGGAGTCATGTTGGTTTTTGTTCGAAGTTTTAAAGTATGTAAATTAAATACATTTATATGGCTAATTGTCATTTATGGTTACCTACTGTTAAATAGTTGTTTAATTTGTTGTCTTCAGCATTGAAAAGTTAAGCAGTATCCCTTAGCACTATCAATGTCAGTCAAGATAACAGTTCATTTATTTCATAGATTACTTTGATTAAAATCACTATTAAAGCTATTTGAATTATATTATAATTTTCTGGTGATGTCATAATAAAGAAGTTTTTGAACGTGCCCATTTTATTTTTAACGCTTCAATGTGTATTACTGGAGAAGAAATTGAAGTAACATATTTTTACTGTTAATGGGAAAATGGTCTTCTTCAAAAAGGAAAAATCAAACTTACCTCCTAGATATAAATCAATAATTTTCATTTCTAGCATTAACTTAGTAGTTTAATGACTTGGGCTTATGGAATGATTTTTTTTAGACCACATCAGACCTACCCAAGGGAAAGGAAGCACAAAAAATAGGGAATGATACGTAGAATTAGATGGCGAGAAGAAACGAGGAGAGAGAGGGAAAAAGTCTGAATGCAAGACTATTGAAATAAGTGAGTAACACACTTTTCCAGAAAAGATTCATATTGGAGTTTTCTAGAAGCCTCTGAGTATGATGAGGAAAAAGAAGTGATTAAAATTTGAATGGTTTCCCTATGGGCGGATAAAACTACCTGTTCAGCTGGAATGATTCTGATGACCTTGCCTCTGAAGCTTATCCTTTGAGATCAGCAAAAAAGTTCATGTTCTCATCTCTCATTTGAGCTGGAGTTGATTGATGCATAATTAAGATCCCTAAGGAACAGGTGCAAAAGCTGCAGCGCTTCTAGATTCATCCATTTCTCTCTACTTTTTAAAGACCAGTCTCATGATTCTAATACTATAAACACTTGGTGGCTTGGTATTGGGGGCAGAGAGCTTCCGGTAGGATGACATGAGATAGGATGTCATCCTGCCACAGGGAATAAATTCTTGGATGAAATTCTACAGGTCATTTAGCCCATCTCCTATATTGCACAGGATAGGGAGCTGGGGACTCCTGAGGCAAAGTCATTTTCTCAAGGCCGTGTATCTGGTTAGAGGCAGAGGTAGGAAGGAAACCCAAATCTTTCTATTTTTAGACCATTTGCCTCTCTACTAGGCCATCCCTCGCTTTAACTTGGGATCTTAAGCTTCCCTTGTAATTTCTTGAGAGTAGGTTTTAATCTTCCTACTGTATGCTCTAGAAACTATATGCTGGGGGAAAGCTGAGGGGATAGCATAGAGTAATATCCAATCTTGAATCCTTTCTCTCATTTTAAATTGTGGTGTTTTAAATTAGCATAGGTAACATAGAGATTATTACTCAGTTGACCACTTTGCACTTGATCTGAGGGACATTGCAGAGTCATCACAGATTCTTGAGTTATGAGGTCAGTATTTAATGAAAGGATACGTCGAAGGCTTTTCCTTAACTTTCAAGGACCTGTGGGGATAGTTTCTACTCAATGCTTCTTTTTATTCGCTTTCCTAATAAAACTAATATTTAATTATAAAATTAAAATGAAACAAGTTTGGACTTCCGTATGAAAAGTCTTATACTTGATCTGTAACTACAAGATGTTAGATGTTCTTCATGGAGATGACAGGCAAAGGTTACTTTTACAGTTCTATGAAAGTAAAAAGCTTTTAAAACATTTGAATGGGAATTGGTAAAAGAAGCAGTTCTTAATTATGTCAATTGTCTGTAAGAGCTCAGGTGATTATGGTAAACACACCTGATAACAATAACTTAAGAGAGCAACAATAACTTTACAGCAGACACACCTGAATGTTGGTGGGAGTTCTGAGCTAAGGAACCCAGAAGTGGCCAACCTGAAGATCAATTCCTTGTCTACGAGGAACATCTGATCCCCTGGCCTGTCCCTTGGAACATGGGCCATACAAGGAGTTGAGGCCCTTTGTTTTGGATTAAATGAAGGTTTCCAAGCGGACGTGGTTAGGAGGAGGGTACTAAGTGAAAATGTGATGTAAACTGCCTGCCTTTTGCAAGTGGTTCTCCTGTCTAGCCTGCTACCTCTGGACTCTCTCCCCTGTATGCAAGGCCCCAGTAAAACCCCAGGTCTCATTTGCTGGCTCTGGGTCTCTCCTTCAGCCTCTTGAACATGCTGCCATCCCCGGTGGAGTCAATAGGAAGTCGGCACAACAGACAAGGAAGAGCTGTCACCTTGCCTGATAAAATAATATTCTAAAGGGGAAAGTACATATTTATAACAACTGGCAAGCCTTATGACTTAAATGAACAGAGCTCTGCTCTATGGAAACACAGAACCAACAGTGCCAGGTATGAATAGGGAAAACTTCTTGGTAGTGGTGATACCTTATTAGAGTCTTGAAGAGGGCATATTTCCTGGTACAGAAAAGGGGGAACACTCAAGTAGAAGAGTAAAGCAGAAAATATATAACTCTCCATTTTCTCAGGAGGTCTAACTCATTACAGTTCCATTTAACCCAATCAAAACCAATGCTCCCCTTTCCCTCACATCTTTACCGCATTCTTTTAAAGAAGCATACGCACAACTCTTTGAGCAAGAAATATCAGGCAACCGCTGCCATCTTAGCTAAAAAATCTTTTATGTTTGAGAACTTACCTGGAAGAGTCCTCTGGAGAGAGAATAAGAAGATGCTTTCAGTTGCACTTGGAGAGAATGTGAGAATTAATCGCCTGCTTGTTTGGGAAATAACAACTAGTTGTTTCTGGTTAAAGCAACACCAGTATTTGGATGAGTTGGAGCAACGTCAGAATGATTGGAAATTGCTCAAAGCTCACAATGGTACTTGAAGTAAAAGGATGAACCCCTTCAAGAACAATGCTAGGTTCTCCTTTGCTACATGGAGGGCAATGGCGCATGATAGGCCAGGGAGAAAAGAATCACCAGATCCTTTGCCTACTTCTGCCAAATCTGTTGCAATGTTTCAGATAAATCACTTGAACTATCTGAGCTTTGAAGTGCTTCAGCTTCCACTCAATAAGAAAAATTGTTTGAACCTCTCTCATTCTGCTCACCATCTTACCCTTCTCCTTGAAGATCAGCTTAAAATAAAGTGATTTGAAGCCCCAGGTGAAATGGGAGCCCTTTACTACCTCCTGCTAAAGGTGGTAAATGACTGTGCCCAACTTTGACCTCCTCTAGTTAGCAACATCATTCTAAACTTAGCCCAGACAGAAAAGGATGACAGCAAAGGTTTGAACACTTTTAAAGGCCTCTCCCTTTCCCCAGAGTTCTTATATATCTATGTATATGTGTATAATATGTTTGAATATTTTATTATAATTATCCTCCTTAAGAAAAACAAATTTCTTGGATTTTCCCTATGACTTGGGCTTAAGAAGTCTCTTAACAGTTCCTCAGATGTAGTACCTGCGGAAGGGAAGGATTAGGTTAGAATATATTCAAAGTTTGTATAAAAAAGAGGGTAAACTAGTCATTTAAATGTAAACATATAAACACTTACTTTTTACTGTGTTGGCTTTGATATTCTTTAATTTCTTTGTTATATCAGCCCTTTTTTTATGTCATGTTGAAAATGTGCCTTCCTGGTTAAAAGGATGGATATTTGGAAACAAGGCAGTTTGAATCACAGCACAACTATTTAATTTTAAAAGACACTTTTTTCTAACCTATATAATTCTTAATTGTTCTGGACATGTAGGCTATTTCAGTGAAATTTAGAAAGCAAGGCCATTTCCTACAGCTAAGCCCTTTAATGATAATTATGACACCAACCCCCAAAGACATGGTTTCATGGCTAACAGATCACTCTCAGATTTTGTGGGGATAGAGTGTTGGTAGCAGGAAGCGGCAGAGGAATTCAACTCCTTCTTGAGCTTCTTGTGTTTTATAATCCTCCCTATGTCCCACCTGTTTTGTCTCAGAGGGGATAAGTCAATAGAGCTGCTGCTGTTCACAAAGCCATGCAGGTAAGAGACATGTACCCCTTGCTTCAAAGTCTTAGTAAACTTATAGAGAAAATATGATTTGATTGCCTAACAATATATTTATAATTTACATACCAAATAAGTGAAACGTAAGGAAAAAACTGCTTTGAGCTCCCGAGAATGCTAGTTGATAGCAAACAAGGAAGGTGCTTTGGTAAGAAGGTTGTTTGCTTTGAGCTTCCATGGATGAGAAGAAATCAAGTAATCAAAGAGGAGGAAGAGGAGGAATAAAAACATAGTTGAGAATGGAACAGTCAGAGACATGTGGGCACTATCTTTTCAGATAGGAATTTTATCTTTCTTCCTTGTTCAACAGTTATTTCATACACGAATGAGAAAGGCCAAACATAGTCATGAACGTTTGCTTTTTTACCTTCTGCCTCTTCAGTTTTTCAAGAAACACTAAACTCGCACCTAGGAATATTTTGACAAGCTTAGAAACTTTTTCAAAAAATAACTCTTGTATATGGCAAGATGTTACTAAAATCAGATTTTTTTTTTCCCATGGAGACGATGACTGCAGAACTTTTCATTCACACCCTCAAACTCGTGCAGAGAGAAGCCAAGATCTTTCTTCTTCTGCACATTTTTGGCATCATTCAGTGGACTTGAAAGAAACACAGAAAATTCCATGGAGAAATATCTTAAACTCCAGCTCACCTCTTGGCTTCTTTCAGGAATGCTTATTTGACCTGAATTAAAATGATGACTTTTCATCTCTCAATCTGAAGCATAAATAAAGTAGGAATTTTGCATTAGGATTGTGTTTTTTAAATAATCATAAAACTCATATTCAAGTACTTCCTTGAGGCCTCTAAACTAACACATTTTGGATTGCTATAAAAATAGAATCAGCTTTCCTTTGCTAACATGGATAGGTATTTATATATCAATTTTATAGAGGACTGACTGTACTGTAACTTTGGAAACACCTTCTCTTTTTAATAATAAGAAATGTTGGCTAAGGGCTTGTCTTTCCTGGTTCTAGATTAGCTATGATAATACTCATCCCCTTATGCAGAAAAGCTGCTTTTAGACTTCTCATTGCTTCCCAGTTAATATAACATAGGGATTATTAAAGTCTCTGAGTATGCATTTCTAGATGTGTATAGCATTAGATGAAAATTCCTTAGGCCTTTGGAAATTCTTCCTTTCCCTTTTAGAGAAGAAGATATTATCCTGGCTATCATACATAGCAAGTTATATGCATATAAGATAAGTTCCCTTTTGCCATGAAATCAATCTTCCAGTTACACCCTGGGTTTGTTCTTTCTTTTCTCATCTTGTTCCTTTGCTTTTCACTTCTCTAATTTTACCCATCAAGTGATCATGCATCTGTTTTTCACCTTGCCCTACAAACCTCTCTTAGTTGCTTTATTCTCCTTCCCCAGTGCTTCTGTCACCATGGCTTCATATCTGGCCCCACCCCTACCCCATCCTATGCACTATTCAAAATCTTCATTCCCAGCCATCCACCAACTGTCAGCAGAAGAAAGTCCAACTCTCCAGCCTCTTTAGAAAGCAGACTTTATTCCCCACACTACATAATGCATAGTAGGGGCTCAGTGATACCAAATATGCAGATCACATAATTAAGTCCATAGCACTGCCTAAACATACATGGTATTTGAAGGAAATAAGTCCTGTCATGGATGTTGACTGAAAATTTCCCAGCATTTACAGCCTAGAATTTTTAATGGAAACATAAAGCCCCAAATTTGGAGATAAAGGAGCTACAGAAAACAGCAGATGTCCCAGAGCACACAAACCATGTGGCCAAGAGCAAAAGGGAACTCACAAGGAGGTGTCTGTATTACGAGAACTCGTGCCCAAATTCCTTTTCTGTGAGAAAACAGTACCATATAATCCTTTTGTCTCAGTAAAAAAAAAAAAAAAGTGGTCCAAAGCAGACAGAATGGAATATGCATTCTCCCTCCTTTACCCCTAAAACATTCTGTCTTGATCAATTTCATTTTTTTTTGTCAGGTGCACTAGATGTTATAAAAGCACTTAGCTTATTGCCTGGTACATAGTTATTTGAAAAACTTTGACCATGGAAAAGGCTGAAGAAAGCTAAGAGTATTCTATATAAGGTCTGGAATGTCAAGATAAGAAATTTGCATTGATCTAACAGGTAATAAGAAGCTCCATACCATATTCTTTTTACCTGTATGTAAAAATCAAGAGGAGTTAATACAAGTAGTATTTTATTACCAAAATAGAAGTTGCATCTGGCTCAGACTCAGCCTCTGATTCCTCAGGAGGTTTTTCCCACCCCTTTCCCTATTCCTGCTTTCCAGCTGATTTGACCGAAGGACAGAAGGATTAAGAAATCAAGTAGCTTATCTGAGAGGTTCCCCATGGGGCGCTTTGTCCCAGGTGTTCCTGCTTGGAGCTTACATAATCAGGGGCTTTCTGCATGCTGAGGGTATTATTGTAAAGGTGATTGTTTAAGTCAGTGGGTGACGGTGTCAGGATAATTATAGCCAGGAGATATATGATCATAAAGACCTAGTTAGTACCCCAGGAGACCCCAAGACAGGGCTTCTGCCCATACTTTTGCAATCACACATTCTGAAGTAAGGTGGCACCATTTACCAAGTAGGAACAAAAGTGAATGATTAGGGAGAACTGTTTGTTCCAGTGCTCTGGGGACAAAAAAAAAATCCATGTTAATCTTTTCTAAAGTGTCCACTTTTGTTATGTTTATATTTTTGTTGAGGTTCTTTGTTCACTTGCAACTAAACCAACACGTAGAACTGAATGTGATTTCTACTGATCTAGAAAAAAATAAAGTTATTATTAAAAAGGAAATCTAAAGGATGATAAATTAGCTGCATATTTTTCTGTTCGTCTATTGTTTTCTATTTTCTCTATCTTAAGGTTGTTTATAATAGACAGTTCTACATCAAACTTGAGATGAAATTAAAGTTGTGAAAGATTTATGATGTGTGTTCCAGTTATGGCCACCAGTTCTAATATGCAGGGAACACGTTTGAAACGGGATCACAGTTGACTATTAGGATACAGGACTATTCTTTTCAGCAGAACTAAAGAGAAGATCAGAGACCTCTCTATTTTTTCTCTCCCTGCCTCTTCTTTTGTAATCACATGATTAATACATGCTATTGAAAAAGGTTTCAAAATGTAATGAAGAATATCAAGAAAAACATAGAAGTCCTTTCTGACTATCTGCAACCTTAGTCGCCTCTCAAGTGGGAACCACTGTTAACATTTCAATGTGCAGATGTCAAAAACCATTTGCTCTGACTTTACAAACAGGAACGTGCATGCACACACACACACACCCTTGCCCTAAAAGTTTTAGTTTTAATAAATGGTGTATACAGTCAACATATGTCCTGGATATCTCTCCCTGTCTGTACTTGTAGAAATATGTAAGTTCCATTTAAATTCAAAGTCAAATACAATTTGAAGTTTTGCTGAAGCTTCTTTCTCAATACATGCTTCTAGATTGTAGTGAATAAGTGACTGAAATCAGCTAGCCAGTTTCTACCACAACATGATAGCTTGGTTTTATGGCTAAATGAGCCCCAGGAAGGAGTGTGAGAAACTCCCACCTTGCTCCATTGTTCATGAAGGACTTGCATGGTGAGAGACCCTTGGGTCTCCTTTCATCCCAGTTTTATAGTAAAAAGATCAAAGATCTTCCCCAAAGTCTCTGCCCAACTGGGTCCCCACCCTGTTACCTTCTGAGGAGTCTAACCCTGAGTACTGCTGGGCTTTGCAGATCCTAGAGTTGCGGGTTATGAGTGTGTCCAGAGAACCAGAGTATGTCATCTGGATTCACTCACTCATTCACACATTCATTTATTCACACTCAACAAATATTTATACCATTATTCATAGGGCAGACAGTGAACATTAAAAATGTGAAACAATAACATACAGTCCATTCATTGTCAAAGGATACTACAGATCAAGGAAAGAGGCAACTTCAAGAAAGTATGATTAGTACATTGACCAGCCAAATGTAGAAGCTTCTGTGTCAGACTTGACAGGGTGAGGGAAAGCTTCCTGGACAAGAAGACATCTAATTGGAATATGGAAGGATGCTTAGAATCTAGCCAGGTGTGGGGACTTAAAGGGTAAAGCAAGTGCTACCCAGAAAACGTAAGTAAGGCAGATCTCTTTGGCCTGAAGTCCTCATCAAGGAGTTTAAGCTTTATTCTGAGAGTCATGGGAAACAACTGAGAAATTTTAAGAAGCAAAGGGACCTGATCTGTAAGATTTATACAATGGAGAACAATATGGAAAAGGAAAAAGACACCATTAGGATGCTGCTGCGGATGCTGGGGTGAGTGATGTTGATGGCTTTAACTAAGGGAATGGCCCTGGGACCAAAGAAGTGTGCATGTTTTCAAAAGTCATTTCTTGCTTTCTGCGAGCGAGCCTACTAAACTGCCTAAGCACACCGGTTAAGTGTGGCAACTTTGAGAAACAGCATAAACCATGGGTGACATTGCAAAACTGAAAGCACTTGGTGCAGAGGTTAGATAAATATCTGTTTCTAGGGGGATATACATGTGTGCATTCATTGTTTTGTTTTCAAGAGACAATTGTGCCTGAGGCTGGAGCTTGCTCACCCTATCTTTTGGACTCAGAGTATGGGGCCTGGTCTATTTTCTACATGACCGGGCTTTAGTTCAGAACTGACGAGTCATATATCATTCTGATTGATTTTTTTTTTCTTTTTTCTTTTTTTCCCCTCTCAAATAAAGGGGTTGCAGGGGTGAGATAGAGATTGCTATGAACCATCAGGGCAACTCAACCCAAATATGCATTTATCAGGAGCCCCCTAAGTCAAGCTCTCCTGTCCTCACTTGGTTTGTCTACTCAGAGCTGAGATAAAGAAATAAAGGGTTAAATGAGGTCAGTTAGTGGGTAAAGGACAGAGAAAATAGATGAACAGCCCAGCTTGGACTGCTCTGATCTCTGCCGGGGAGAAATGGTTAGAAGGGGACATGGCAGAGTTACAGGATTACCAATCAGTGTCCTAAGCAGTGGGGTAGAGCTAACCCCTGAATTGCCTACCGTGGCTTACCTTGCTTCTGAATTCTTGGGTTTGGTTTCATCTGTATCCTCTGTTTTAGCCTTCTTTTTAGTGCCACTCCAAAGGCAAGGACCACAAAGCATAAGCATCCATTTTTATTAAAGCAGAAAGGTGAAGACTTAAAATGTGCTTCTGTATGTGTGCATTTTTAAAGCAACCCTTTGTAAGAATGAGTGGATTTAGCAAAGTAGATGCGATTGAATCACAATGGAATACATGCCTCTTACTCGGTCTAAAGTCCCTTGGTTCTGCAAAGTTTTTTATTCTCTTTTCAAACCTTATGCAATTGTGACTTCATCTAAATTATTGATACAGTTCTAAGGGATTAGTATCTTCTGACGGCAGTCTGTTCAATATATTTGTATTTTTTACCCTTGAAGGAATATGGGACTGTTAGGGTTTTAAAAGAAGTCTGAGTTTTTGTTTGTTTGTTTGTTTTGTTTTGAATGACAGTAAATATCCATTAAAAAGCTGTAGATTTGCAGCCTTGATGATTAGCTCTCTCTTAGACTCCAGCAAGCCTTACTGAATTTCCTCTGGAGATCAAGTATTGAGGGGCAAAATACTGGGGTAGAGTTGAAAGCAATAGAGAAGATTTGTTGACAATATCGATGATTAAAAAAATGAGCCTTTTTAAACAAGAAATTCCTGCTCATACATTTGGCTTCTGAGAGAGAGAAAGAGAGAGAGAGAGAGAGAGAGAGAGAGAGAGTGTGTGTGTGTGTGTGTGTGTGTGTGTGTGAAATGGGGAAAAATATCAATGCATCAAAATGGACAGGTCATTTTGTTGAATGTAACTGAACTCCTAAGCATTCAGAGATTAGGAGTATTCATAATTTCTGACTGGCATGCATTATGCTAATGTGGCTGTCCTCTGTTGTATGCTTCTGCTGAGACAGCCACTTTACTCCTGCTTAATTTTCTCCCTAATGGTAGCAGTAGGGACTTGGGTATCTACAGTGAGCTTTTACCAATTTAACTTGCTGCCGCTATAGGCCGTTATAAATTATTATTCTTATTTAGCACTTGAATCTATAATTTCTTTCTTTCCCTCATGTTCTATAAAATATAGACTTAGACCTAAGTTAGCTATGCTTTTCCCTTCTTATAAATCTAAATCTTTCATTTGCAACGAGCTAAAGTTTTGGATGCTCAACAACTGTAACCCCTGCTTGGCAGACTAGAGAGTTATCAAGGAACTTCATTCATTCATTCATTCATTCACACGTGCTTGCCTTCATACATTTATTCATCTCTGAATGCAATAACATATTTACAGAGCACCTACTATTTTTTTTTTTTACCAGGCAATGCTTTAGGTGTTGAAGATAAAACAGTTAACAATATCGATTTGTGGGAAGAAGTACTACCTATAATGTCTAGAAAATACATGTGAGATTTGAAGAAAAATAGCTTCTCCATACTGATATTCTCAAAGTAGTTTTTCTCCCTAATTATCTGTACACCTCCACTGGAATTCTTGCGAAGGTTACTTTGCCTTCTGGATTTTGAAAAGTTGTCTTTGATTTTATTACTTTCTCCCTAATGTCCTAGGGAAAATATTTCCTTCCTTCCTACTGATTATTGTTTTAGAATTTGAAAATTACTGGAAACCTATATATGAGTATTTTGTTATAAAAATTCATGTGCATTTGAACAAGCACAAGAGTACTTCCTATGCTGGATGCTAGATTCTAGAAAATTTTAAAAATTTTTTACCAGTCTCCCAGTTGTGATATTCCCAGTTAGTTAATTGCTTTTTCTGTCTCTTTCTGTTTCTTCCTGAGGCCCCTCCTCCTTCCCTGCCTCTCTCTTTTTTGATTTTTTAATTTTATTCTATTCTTTTTTTTTTTTGTAGAGCCAGAATCTCCCTCTGTCACCCAGGCTGGAGTGCAGTGGCACCATCTCGGCTCACTGCAACCTCTGCCTCCCGGGTTCAAGCAGTTCTCCTGCCTCAGCCTCCCGAGTAGCTGGGATTACAGGCACATGCTGCCACAACCTGCTAATTTCTTTTGTATTTTAGTAGAGGCGGGGTTTCACTGTGTTGCCCAGGCTGGTCTCTAACTCCTGAGCTCAGGCAATCCGCTCACCTTGGCCTCCCAAAGTGCTAGGATTACAGGCATGAGCCACCGTGCCCGGCTTCCGCCTCTCTTTTTTTTAATGAGCAATCATAAGTTATTATCAACTAGCATGCAGGTAATAATTTTCTTATCTTGTTACTTGTGTTCCACCACTAATAACTATGAGACTGCAGGCAGTTTTTAACTTCTCTGAGCCATGGCTCCTTCCCTGTAGAATTATGCAGTACTTCTTGTGAAAATTGAGATAATGTGTAAAAATAAAAAAAAAAAACTACTAGCACTATATCAGCCACCATACTTGGCTCTCACCAGCATTCTCTGTGACCCAATCGCCAGAGCTCTGATACTTATTCCAGACTCCTGGCACCATGTTTCTATTGCTGCTGCCCATATTCCCCTCCCCCAACAGATCCCAATCACCCTTCTTGCTTGAGCCTATTGCTCAAGCTTTCTGTTTTGCCTTTCATACCTGTCAGTTCTAAATCTTTTCCAGGTATTCTTGATCTCTCATGTCGACCCCATTCTGCCACTGACAAATCTAGTTCTGAGAGTGTGCTTCAGAGAAATTTAGATTTTTGAGATAATTTTGATATATAGTAATGAGAATCTCAGCCTTATGGCAGCCTTTATGCTTTCAGCCAAGGTGGAATCCTGGCCAAAATGATTTTTTTTTTTTTTTTACTTTCTGCCATGGTGCCTGGAATTTCTTCAATATAGACTCATTTCTTAGCTCTTCAAAGGCTTCCAGGTTTTTAGATTTTCCTTCTAAGCCTCAAATCCTGTTGGTCATCACCCTAAATAATCTATCACTTATCACCTGCAACATGCTCAACTGAGATAGGTCTTGTAGAAATGAAGCATAGCCTGAAGTTGAGAACAGAAGAAACAGGAGGAGAAAAAGCACCAGAAGCAAATTTATTCTCATATCCCAGTTTTGAGAAAAGCTAGCCTACTGTAACCCTAGGAGTTTGGCGGCTGCTAATATCTAAAAATGCGCTGGCTCTGTAGCTTGGAAGAAAAAGAGGAACAGCCATTCTCTTTCTGCTTTCCAAGGGTAAGCATGGCCAACCTAGTATCCTGCTGTGCACCATGAAGCATCATCAGGTGCAGATTAGGAAATGAATTTACATTAAGTTTCAAGAAAGAATTTCTGACAATGTAAGCTGAATTGACAAGAACAAAGTTCTGAAGGAAGAGGCCAAACCATTACTGAATGGGTGATTTGTGGCTGAACTGGATGAACCGATAGCATTCCATGGCTAGAATTTGTGTCACTGGTTCATTCTGTGTTTCCTCTTATTTTCCAAATTGCATTCAATCGATATGGCAGAAATGAATACCCCTATATACAATTATTTCAATATATCTTATATAAGTTTAGAAGGTGAAGCCTGTATATATTTTTCATGTAAATGTAGTATTCCCCTGCAACTCAGTGCAATAACTACCCACAGTGCTGATACATAGGACTCTCTCAATTTGTCCCCCATGTCAGAAATGCTGTGCAAAATCCCCATAGCTGACTGCAAAACCTGCCCTGAAGATCAAATAAATGATATACATACGAATTCCTAATAAGTGCTCAGCAGGTTGTTTGGGCTTATATTAGTCTCCTACAGCTGCCTCTCGGGAAGGGATACCCCAACAAAGTGTTTGTTAATGCTTGCCACCTTTAGAGAAGTCTCCTGGGATGCTGCCTAAACCTACACTGTAAGCAAAGTGGAATAACAAGCCCTTTGAAAAGTCACTTGGGAAGATGACAACCCATAATGGTCACTTTGGCTAGGATTTAAAATGCTTTATTATTGTCGAATTAAAGCACCCTGGCCATATTGCTCTGGATATACCCCGTCTTAGCCAATCTCAGGTTTACAATACAAGAACAATCTCAATCTGATTTGCTTAATGAAAATGTATCCCTCTACTTTAAAACAGGGAGATACCCCAGTTCCTTAAAAATATATGTTTTATTGCATATGCTTTAAAAAACCTATTTACTTAGCAGTTTCATTTTGTTTGCAGCCTCATTGCATTTTCTTCTCTAATTAGCAGATACATGCATCATCTCTTGGAGATGAAGCAAATATTTTTCTTTTCCTCATTGGGTAGTTTCCCAGGAAAGAAGCTCACGGCCTCACTCTGGCTCCGGGTTTGCTGTGTGCTTTCCCACACATTCTCACCCTACCACACTTTTCCTGTAATGTTGCTGAGTTCGGCTAATTTAGATCCTTTCTCTAATTTAAGTTGCTTTCATTTAACTTGGCTTGAGAGTGTCTGATACTTACACTCACAAACAAAACTATAGAGTTTTAGAACTCAGAGCAGTGCTTCCCATTGAGATTTCTGGATGCCACAATGGTGCCTGCAAGAGGAAACTCATCGGAGTGCTTTCATCAGCAAGGAACTGGAATTCCTGACCAGTGATAAGACAAGATGACTGTGGCAGCTTCAGATATATTTACAATTTGACATTCAAAGGCCAAAGGGGAAAAAAGATTTTTCCCCTGTATCTCACTATTTTTCAGGGAGGAAATTTTTCAGACGCTTCCTATCCCACCCAACCTCCAGTAGAGTTCTCCTTAGGTCTCATTGGTTAAAATTGGATACATAGTCACCCTTTAATCAATCGATTGCACAGGAAAATTGAATTTCCATGATGACTATAGCCTAATCATGATGCATGTCCTGGGGCTGACCCATTTTCCTGAGCACAGAATTTGTTCAGTGTAACCAGTTTCTGAGCTAAAGGAAAATTCACTTAACAGGTAGAGAAGAATAGATGTGAGTAGGCAACCATACAATAGTGTTTGTTTTGAGGACAATTATGAGTAGGTTTTTTAGATACATTGTATGTCACTTGCAAGTGTATAAGCAGAGTTTGCTATTTTTTTGAGATATTTTTTGAGTAACTGTCATTTCTTTGTGAGATTTAATTCTAGACCCTAATTCTCTCACTGCACAGAGAGGGAGAGGCATGGGCAAATATATGGGATTCCTGAGGGAAAATGTAGGCAGAGGGGTGTAGGGTGGCCATACAATTTATAACTTAAAGCAAGACACTTCTGAGAGTCAAAAGGAGAGCTGCGAATAACTCTACCAAGTCAACAGGTATAAATTATCCTAGACAAACTAAACTGTATGGTAAAGTCAGATTTATATAAGGGAGTATATTTTTAAAATGTTATGGGGAAGCTAAAGCTAATTTTTTAAAGTTTTTGTAGGTGGAGAAAATGCCACCTTTATTTAGGATCATAAAAAATTCCAAATTTATATGAAACTTTTTCATGTATAATTTTGTTTAAATCCTAAGTCTTATGAGACATGAGACATTGACTGTAATAAAAAGTGCAAAAACCTCTCAGATCTTATAGGTATTCTATGATAAATTTGGAAAGTGTAATATTAGCATCTATAAAATCAAAATATTGCCTGTTGGTTTCTGTTCACTGGAAAATTATAAATGTTGATCATTTTGTTTTACACAATGCCTGTGCCAAGTCTTCCTATTGTCTTCCTCAAGGCCTCTAACTTGCCAGGTTTTAGCTATCAGTGATATTAGTAAGAATCTTTTTGGTCTTGGCCGTGATGGAAGTCTGAAAAACAGCATTTGGCAAGGGAATGACCCAAACAGAATAATTTTCTATAGACAAAATGTGTTTAAGTTGATGAATGAAAGATGTGAATGCTCATGCTAGGAGAAGGGGAAAAGCATTGGTATTTCCCTTAAAGAGACCATACCAGGGTATTTTATTTCCTGCAAGTGGTTTAATTTTGTACATTGCTTCTCTGCTCACAGAATGTTCTCTGTCTGTCATAATAAAGGAGAGCCTTTTCATTGAAATAGACCTCTGAATCTGTTTTAGCGACTGCAGTGACAGTCTGTATGTATCTGAAAGAATGAGAGGCATAAGACACCTACACATGTTCACATCTAGGGTAGTATTTTCAAAAAATGGAGTTACTTTGAATCCCCGATCGTCTCTTTCTTTTACTCAATTTCAAGTTAATATCTAATGTAAAACTTTTATAAATAGCAAAGAGACTTATACTTCTCTAGCTTTGCAATATTTAGTCTTGCTTTTTCTTGTTGGCACGGTGTGCCCTTTACCAAATGATCCATCCAGGTGATTGATACTAAAACATCTCATTGATTTCAAGTTTACGTGTCTAGATATTAGATCCTAGAAATGAGTTGTTAATAAATATCAGCTTTACATCAAGAGTTTAACAGAAACATATTCCTGAACAAATTTCCATTGCCTTCTAAAAGGGTTATTTCTTGGTCTGCAGAGCTGCTAATCTGTAGGTTGCATTCAGTCTAGGCTATCAGAATAGGGCACCCCATGGGACTTGATGATAGTATTGTCACTTAGATGGCAAACAAGGCATGAAATACCTTTTCATAGAACTAAACACCCTCAAATGGGGACATGAAACCCTGTACCTCTGGGCACAGTCAAAAGTTGCTGTATTAAGTCATGTGTTTCCGGTACTTCTGGGCTCATTAACCCACAGGTTGTTTCTTGCTCCCAGGGATCATTCTTTTTGGTCCAAAACTAAATAAAAAAAATAGATAGATCTTATGGATTGATGTGAATGTTGAAACAGAAGCTCTACTACTAAAATAGTGGTTCATAATTAATAATCCCTTGATCTTTACTTTGTTTTTTTCCTAAGGGGCAGATAAGAAAGCAAGTACAAAGCAAACTTAACACTTTGGCAGAATGTAATGTATCTGACTTTCTAAAATTCTGTATGCCAGAATAACTGGCTGTTTCCCATTCCTTGCTCTTGATATACAGCCAACAGCCTAGCCAGGAGCCATGTCGAAAAGGAGGGGAGGCACTCAGGGCAGTGGTTTTTCATGGCCTCATTCTTTATAGTACAATAGTTAGTGTCCCACTATTGTACTTGTGGAATGACTCTGAAATTGTCACACCATTTATGTGTAAGAATTGCTACTTCTCTTTATTTCTCCAATTCAAGCTTAAGTTTTCCTGAAGTTTCCCCACCTTCTGGAGTGGCAGGAAATTTAGCAATTTCCTTTTCTCATAATGGAGCTATATATGGTTCCCCAGCTAGCCACGACAGAAAAACGTCGGGATGAGGATGGTTCTTCAGTCATGGTGGAGACATATTTTCTGTGGGTCTTTTGGCTGTAGTGCTTTGGGCCATGCCCTGTGTTGTCTGTTTGAAGTACTCCCACTCCAGGTGTGTTCAGTGATGTGTGGTCAGCAACGCTCCCTCTGACCACGAGACAGCTTCTGCAAACATCTTCTCCATCCTGTGTGCGGCATGAAGCCAGAGCACTGGACTGTGCTACCTTGATATTTGCTGTGGGTTGAATTGAGTCCCCCAAAAGGATATGTCAAAGAAGTCCTAATCCCTTGTTCCTGTGAGTGTGACCTTATTTGGAAGGAGGTTCTTTGCAGATGTGATTAAAATGGAAGCTAAGATGGGGCCATTCATAAGATGGAGAGTATTGTGGGTCCTCAATCCAATATGACTGGTGTTCTCAAAAGAAAAGAAGGTAAACACAGAGACAGGCACAGAGAAGAGAGTGCCATGAGAAGATATGGACACACACAGGGAAAAATGCCACGTGAAGGCAGAGACAGAGGCTGGAGTGATGCATCTACAAGCCAAGATATGCCAAGGATCACTGGCGACATCAGAAGCTAAGAGAAAGTAATGGAACCAATTCTGGAGCTTTCAGAGAGAGCATTGCTCTGCTCATGTCTTGATTTGAGACTTCTGGTCTCCAGAACTGTGAAAAATAAATTTCTGTTGTTTTAAACCACCCAGTTTGTTATGGCAAACCCTAGGAATATAATATAGTTCCCTTCTGCCCTGGTATAGTTCCTTACATCTTTCTCACCCAAAGACGTGACTAGGATCATTTAACCTAATTCCCCTCTGTTGAGTATTTGAGAACATAATGAGAACCTTCCTAGGACTGGAGAAGATAAAGAAAATGCTACTTCAATTTTATATTTTTCTTGTTATCTCACCCTGCTAAGCTTACATTTTCAGGAGGCAAGTAGGTATTGACAGTTCCCAAGGTCAAACTTCCTGGCCTCCTGACTTTGTTCACTCTGGCATATTCTTCATGTAGAATGTCTCTTAGAACACAGGCTTTTCAATTATTTTCAGTAAATGTTTACTGAGTACCTCCCATGTGCAAGGCAATGGGAAAAGATAGTCTAGATAGTCTTAGTCTTCAATGAGCCAACAATCCAGAGCGACATATAGAGTTATGTAAATATATTTACCAAGTGTTAGAGGAGATCGGTGAAGGTGTGAATAGTTTTTATAAGGCAAAAGGAGTGGTGGTGTCATAAAAATCTTTACCTCTAAGGGTTATTTTGAACTGTGTCTTCAAGGATAGGGAAGATTATATCAGGCCAATTAGGCAAGGACATCATAGGACAAGGGAATATTATGATAAATTACATGGTAGGTTTGAAAAGAGGGGTTGGCATGCATGATTAAATTATAGGTGGGGTGAAAAAATGGTAGTAAGTGAGAAAAAGGTGAATTAAGATCAAATTGTGAAAAATTTGTGAGTGCCTACAATGGGCCAGGTCCTCAGCTAATTATTTTTAATACATTGTCTTGTCAGGTCTGAGAGGTAAATAGTTGCATTACATAGTGGATAAACCTGAAAATAAAATGACATGAGTAATTTGTTCAAGAAATTCAGATGGCAGGTAGTCAAGGCCAGAGTTCAAGCTTGGCATAAGTCCCAAGCCCCTGTTCTTCTCTGTACACCTTGCTGCAAAAGTAAATGGGGAATGCTTCAGGGCTCTTGAGAAAGGTAGTGGCAATGGGTTGGCCCAGGTGGAGGATTCACTGGACTTTAGAGGTTATATGCAGAGGGCTGTGGCAAAACAGGAAGAAGGTGATTTGGGATTTAAAAAGAGGAATCCTGTTGGAAAGGAGGGGCCATATGTACTTAGGTTTGATGATCAATTAATTGATTGATGGTTGAAGGGAATAAGAAAATAGTGCAATGACTGTAAGGTTCTTTGTTTGAGTAATGATTTGAGGATGGTGCCATTACCCCAAGGTGAATTAGAGACAGGAACAACACGTTCTTGGGAAAAGATAATGAGTTCGTTTTTAGCTTCTTTAAGTTTTAAGCGCCTGGTAGAAGATGTCCAGCAGAACATTCTAAATTTTGGCCTGGAGTTCGGGAGGGAAGTTGGGGCCAGAGATCCATTTGTGATTTATCAACATGGTAGGACAGCCAGTGACTTTTACTGAAATACAAGTCTCATTTCTGACATTCCATTGCCCAAGTTCCTGCAATGATTACATGAAGCTATTAGGGAATAAAAAAAGACCCACGTTCTTAACATGACTTTGAGGTATTGTTTGATCTGGGCCTGCCTGTGTCTCCAGCCTCATTTTGAGGTATATTCTCCTTCTGTATTTCAGTTCTCAAATGTATATGTGAAGGTCCTTTCTGACCCAGTTGCCCGATACCAGAATGCCTTCCCAACATACATACACATCTGTACACAAATGCATGTGTTCACACCAACACACATGTGCAAATCTGCACACATACATGCACATCTGCACAAGCAATAGACACATGTTCATATGTGTACACATGTGCACACATATGAATAGATTCATGTGTACACATGTGCACATAAATACCCATGCCTGCACATGCACAGATGTGCACATTTCATCCAGTAATTCCAACTAATTCCTCAGATTCTCATCTGAAACGTTTTTGTTATCAGGGAAGTCTTCTGTGACCTCACAGTCAAACAAGTTTCCCTGTTCCTTCTATGCCATAGCACTTATTAAATTGTGTTGAGTATTTAGTTTTCTGTCTTATTAGAATGGAAGTTCCATGTCAATAGGACATGTGGAAACATCCACATATTTCCCTTCCTCTGGCACTCTACATGGCAAAAGTGGGCAGTAGTCTTTGTATACTACAGGCACACATGAATGAATTCATAGACGAATGGATGAATGAGTTAATGAGGCTATGAGTATAGATGAGATATAGTAAACAGGTAGGGGGAACACAGGGCACAGGAATATCCTCCCCACTCCACAGTGGACTTCCAGCCCACTCGTTCTCTTCTATGATAAAGACTATGACTCTGGTAAACTTTGAAGTCTTTCTTTCTAACTTCTTGACCTCTAAAAGGAAGTTGGAGTTTTCATTAATGCCGTGGGTCAGGCTCTGTGGAAAATACAAGAGGAAAACCAGACAGTCCTTTCTATTAGTGTCTGAATTATCTCATTAATTGATACCAATGTTGAGGTAATCAACTTCTCATTAAGACTTCTCATTAGATGGCTATTTCTCTCTTTTACCTTCTGGCAGGGAGTTTAGAGCATTTAATCATCACTTTCCTATTTATCACTTAAAGGAAATTCACCTTTCCCCCAGTTATCACATCCTAATTTTTCTGGGGTTTGTAAAATTTTAATCTTATGATAGGGCTTTTTTTTTTTTCCTTTGGGTAAGCCTTTAGCAATTGCTATATCCAACATTTCAAAGAAGCTGTGTTTTAGTGGACTGAGGAATTTACTCATCAAGATTTTATTTTGCCAACACTCATTCATTGTATGGAATAATAATTCGGCAGTTTTCATGATATTTCATGTCTGGGCCCAGTTGCTCCTTTGGCCAGAATACACTGAGACTGAAATAGCAGTTTATTTCTTGCTTAAGTAATATGGTTTTCTTGTGACCAAAAGCATAGGAACATTTTATTTCACCCCAGACAGACACTTCTCAGGTTTGTGATTTTAATTATAACAAAAACTGGATGAAAAGAATGACTTGATCATGGCATAGATATGCCACCATCAGAAAAAATAATCCACAGACAGATCAATAGTATCGTTTTCATTTATGAATACTATTTTAATGTCTTATGCACAGGTATTATCTCTACAAACCATCTCAAGCCAAAAAAAGAACTTCTTCAGTCACACGTGAATTGTCTACCTTTCCATAAAAATGTTCTGTCAAGAGCTTTCTGCATAAAAGAGTAAAAATTTTCAAATAACTTGTAATTTTTTATTTTACACAAAATATCTGGGCTAAAGAAAGTACATTAAAGCAACTTGCATCTCAAAACAATACATTTCTCTGGTTGAAGTTTTAGTGAAAATCGATTTATTCCTCCTCTGAGTTTTACCCAATGGGTAAAGTTGTCTAAATATGGGATTCCTTAGAATCCATCCTCCTTCCCAAGCATTTCCCCATGTTTCCTTCCACCCCCAAATTCTTACCCCATTTCAGGCAGAGCTGAGCAAACATAAGCCTTCTCTGAAGTATTGAGGGAAAGTCTGCTAAACGGCTAAACTACTTAAGGAGCTAACAGAAAAGGTTGTATCAGAGAAACAGTGGAGAAACACAGGTTTCTAATTATATCTGGCACTGGAGAGAATGTCAAAGGTACTGGGCCTGGGGCAGGTTCACAAGAGTGAAAGTAAGAGATTTAAAATAGGTTCTCAACTCCTGATAAAAACACGAATATTTATTTATTTAGTCTAGCTTTTCTTTCTTCTCTTATCGTTATGATTATTATTACTACTACTACTTTTCTGACTTTTCTTTTCCTAACCTACTAGTGTTTAAACCTCCCGAAGACAGAGGTCAGTTCTGCTTTGATCACCACTATATACTCAACAATTAACATATATTGGGTGCCGAGTAACTGCAGAGAGACTGTTCTCTATAGTTTTAAACGTTTTGAATTAATCTCTCCCTATTCTGTCTTCTAGCCTCTTTTCTTCCCCTTCAGTATGGTAGCATAGACTGTCTTTTCCATGTTCTTGAGGTCAGTACATTTCAGGATTATAATCTCTCAGATAGTATAATATCAGCTCATAATCTTCCAACAAAATGGCCTTGGATGACGGTAGGTAGCAGGATGAAGAGAGTCTGCTTGGACTGAAACCCAATTCAAGAGTTGGAACCCATGTTGGCAGTATAGATGTTTTATCTTGATAATATTTCTTTCTTTCAATGAAATGAAAAAGAATAAGCCAGAAGAACTGCTTTACCCAAGCCCAGATTCTTCAAATGTGCTTTCTCTTGATTCCTGTAGGAAGACACTGAACAGAATTCTGCATTTCTAAGAATAAAAAAGAAAAAAAAGTTAAGTGCATTAAAAAAAGAGCAAAACAAAGAAAAAATTACCAAACTAATAAAATAGTACAGTTGGACTACACCAAAGGGAATTTTCATTTGATTCTACATAATTACTTCACCTTACTCTCCTCTGGACACATCATATAATTTAAATGAACAAATTTTAAAAAGTATCTTTCTAAAATAGCCATTAATTTGGGGACTATTATATAAATTTTACCATAATTGATTGTGTTTAGTACTTCCCTATACAGAACATTCTTTTAATAAGATGACTGAAAGGCTTATAAAATTCACCAAATAGAATCTCTTTATGCATGATAACTGGTGGTTTCAAGCAAAAGTATATAGGAGTGAATATTTAAAATGAAAACAACCAGTTAATGAAGTATATTTTGCTATTTATTTCCAAATAAAAACAAGCCTTGGTGTCTAAGACTTAGTTAACTAATTTGTGATTTTTTAAAAAAAGTATAGATGAAAAGGTAGCTAGGTAGAAATAGAAATAGCTTAGAAGGCTAGATACACAGATGGCTTCCTTATGCAGATTTAGGAAGCAAAGTAAATTTATACTAACTAAAGAATATGAAAGGTAAATGACAAGCTCTATGTATCATGACTGACTATGCTAATTATAGCTTATAATATTCTGCTGGACCTAAGAGCCCTCCTCAGCTAAAAAACACCATAAAGTTCATTTAATACAACCTTCATATTTTACTGATGAGGGTACTCAGGACTTGAGAGAGTAGAGAGCAGACACACCTACTTCCTAAAGCCAGTAGTGTGGTCTTCTTTGAGGACATTGAAGTTGAGACATGAAGGCTGAGAAGTGGCTGATCATGTGATGAGTATGTGAACTTTGAGGGGGATTAATGCTTGGCAGAGGGTGAAAGTGGCATCAACAAAATTGGTAAGGCAACTGGCCAGACTGCCAGCATCGAAGGCCATAGTAAGCAATTAAGATATAATTCCAAAAGCTATGGAAACATTGGTGGGTTTTAACTGAGGGAATGATGTAATCTGATTTATATTTTGAAAGGGTACTCTGGTTGCTTTATGAAACACGGATTGTAAGGGAGGGAGCTAGAGAGGAAAAGGGAAGATTACTTAGAAGGCTTTTAATAGGGAGGTTAGGAGAAAGTGGAAATATTGGATGTATTTTTTGGGTAGTGCTAACAACATTTGCCAGTGGTTCTTGGATAGGGAGGTAGAGAGAGAATTAATAGAAAGGGAGGAATTGAGGGCATCTACTTTCTTTTTGACTTGAAAGGCTGAGTAGATGATGGTAGTGTTTGCCGAGATGGAGAAGACTGGGGTAGAAACAGAAATATGTTTTAGGTTAGTATTTATATTTTATTTGACTTGTATTGCCTAATCCAAGTAAAAAAAGATTAATCCTCACCTAGAGCCAAATATATATTTTATTTTAGTCAGGACCAATATAAATGTGCCAAAGGAAATGATTAAATATGGTTAGTATCTATTCCCTATATAGTAAACAAAATAATAATTTAATTTTCACAGTGGTCAGAGGCCATCTTAGGAACTATATGTGAAGGTAGAATTTGTGAACAGGGAAGGAGTAGTAGCTACGTGTCACTGTGTTTTATATGATAAGTGTGTATATGTATATTAATGTGTATGGGGACAGAATGTCCCTATGAACTTAGGAAAGTGAATTCCCTTGGGTTAGAAGACAATGTAAGGTAGCCCTGTATTTTCAAGGGTGATTTTTAGAAAATCCTAATCATTTTTCCTGAAGTACTTTGTGTGAATACTCATGAAATTATAGACAGACCAATTCTCTTTTGCTTAGAATGAAAATCATCTGTTATGCCTTCATCATCAGTGAATGTTTTGGGAACTTCAAGACTATATCCATCATCCAGAGTTTTGGCACACACACAAAAACATCGTTTGTGCTAGCCTTGGACTTTGCTACCTGACAAATATAGTAAAGCACTCAATGGAGAACCATACATTAGCTGGATATGTAGGACATCAAACTTAAATGTTATGTAATAGCTATGAAGGGCACAGTTTCTCTTATAGTTTTAAACATTAAGGAGTACTGTCTGAAACTTGAAACTTAAAATTAAAACTAGTAAATGGCACTCTTAAACTGTCCACATCCATGGTAATCACAGTTCAATACAGCATACTTTTTTGAATGCCACCAAATGGAATAAAATTTTTCCTAAAATGAATGAACTCTCTGCTTCTAGTTTAATATAGCATAACAATACATACATACTCAAAAATAACTTGAAGGGAGAAAGAAATTTTTCCTTTCTAGAAGAAGGGGAGGCAATTTGTGATGCACAGTAGAGGGAGGAGAAATGAGAGAATTAAATTTTTTACGCTGCTGTCAGAAAACTGGGAGAAAGCTTAAAGAGAACTAATGGGGAGATATCATTAGAGAAAACAAAAACTCAAACTAAATCTCTAAATGGTTGAGTTGGACAGCATTGGAGCACTCATTTCCCTTGTAATCACTCTAAAAAATAGGCTACTGTCTACGATAGATAATATGACAATTTCTGTTCAGGTAGAGCGTACTATTTCAATGTCCAAAGACGTTATTCTTTTAAGTAATAGATGTTCAGTGAATGTTACATTGGTTTTTAATGGACTTTCCCCAGTTGGTTGCTTATTTCCTGATATTTTTATGTTGTGTATTCAGAAGAGTGTGGACTGGCTTCAGCTAATCCTCATAAATTGTCTATCCATTAGCAGATTTAAACTGGACTTGGGGCTGCCATGTTTGTGGATTCAGAAGTAGCCTTATCAATCAATTAGCCTTATCTTCTTGTAAGTTTGATGATTCACTAATCAAACTTAGAAGAACTAGATAATTCTATTTCTAATGTTTTTATTTGTTGTATTCTGTAGACAAATATTTCAGAATAATTTTCTCCAAAAGCCTGAGTAAACAAAGGAAAAATTTTCAGCAAAGGCAGAAAAGTTTAAAAACTTGGCAAGGAATAACTCAGTATGACAATATTGGTGAACCTTCCTTTTATTGTCATACATGAAGGAAATGAATATTTAAACAGATTTTTTCCAGGCTTGTGGGGATTTGGCAACCCCAGGCTCTGTCTGTGATAAGATCTTACTGGCCTGAGAGTCCTGCCTAGATTCATTAAGAATTTCTTTCTGTCTCTCTCTTTCATACATTATATATTTTTCAGGTGACCATTTTAGCAATTGTACAAGCTATTTTTAATATTAAATTATGTAGCCTCAGCTGCTTATAAGGAGAGTTTAAGGAGAATATTAGACATATTTATAAGTATCGTTTGTCATGCAAGGGCTAATTAACCTTGAAAATAAGCATTGGCCTACCTTCCCAGTACCTACAATAAAGCACACTAGGCCAAATCTCTATGAGGCTGTAGTTTTCTATTTAAAAAATAATAATAATAAGGTATAAAAAGTTACTAACAACCATGCACTTGTTCCCCTCAACTTAAAAGTTAAAAAAATTAGAAAAGAAAGGCAACATGGCTAATAAGATATGTAAATTAAAAATTTCCTACTCTTCTTTCATTTGTCACTATGTTTTGTTTGTAGGTAGATTCAAAGAATACCATACTTGTCATAGACAATTATTTGTATTATGTTATATTATTTTAATTTACTCAGATCTGTTGCAATGGGAAAAAAATTCAGGAAAAACAATAACTATCAATAATAAATATAAAAGCATGCATTTTCGTAACAGAAAAACTGAAGAGAGTTAAGACACATTGTACGTTCCAAGAGGGTTGGAAGAACACACATAAGAAACTACAAAGAGCATCTGCGAGACGGCTTGTGTGAACTGATGGTGTGGGCCAACCTTCAAATTGCACTGTCCTCTACAGGTCCTTTCTAGATCCATTCCTTTATCATCTCAAATGATGTGCAGTAATAATGCTGCTTGCAGAATGAACTGAATTATCATCTACCAACTAGGATGTGAGTTCCATGAGGACACCACTGTCACTTTTGTCTTTTTATTCATTGCTTTGTTCCAAAAGCTTAGAATGGTGCATACCATGTAGTAGAAACTTAATAAATACTTGCTAAATAGATGGATGCATTTGGCATTTGCTGTTTTGATGACAAGTAATATGGTCTATAGTTTAGTTAATATGATGCATTAAGGTCAACTGCCTGGTTTGGATCATTGTTCTATAGTTATGTAAATGTTAACATGAGGAAAAGATGAATAAAGGGTCCTGGGAATTCACTATTTTTGCAAGTCTTCTTTCAATGAGAAATTATTATTTTATTTATTTATTTATTTATTTATTTATTTATTTTTTTATTTTTTGAGACGGAGTCTCGATCAGTCGCCCAGGCTGGAGTGCAGTGGTGTGATCTTGGCTCACTGCAAACTGCACCTCCCAGGTTCATGCCATTCTCCTGCCTCAGCCTCCCAAATAGCTGGGACTACAGGCACCCGCCACCACACCTGGCTAATTTTTTGTTCTTTTAGTAGAGATGGGGTTTCACCGTGTTAGCCAGGATGGTCTTGATCTCCTGACCTCGTGGTCTGCCCGCCTCGGCCTCCCAAAGTGCTGGGAGTACAGGCGTGAGCCACTGTGCCTAGCCAGAAATTATTTTTTAAAAAGTTTTTTGGGAAATTGAGAATGGAGAAGGGAAAAAGGAGTAAGGACATGAAAGGCTGAGGACCATTGACTCTGGAATAGTGCAGGAAGACAAGGTATGGGCAAGAAAGAGCTGATGTGAGTGCTGGCAATTTGCCTCTGGAAGGCCAAATAGCATTTGACTACTACTCAATCTTTTTGGAAAATCTTGAATTAAAATCTCAAATACTCACTGTCCACTGTGAAATTTCAATTTCATCAGTATTCTTTTACCTGTGCTGCTTTTATCTATCTGCTGATGGCTGCTAGTGCTAGCTGCACAAAGCCCTGAGTTCTAGACCTTCTCTCCCTGCTTAAAGTTTATTAACAAGGGCTGGGCACAGTGGCTCATGCCTGTAATCCCAGCACCTTGGGAGGCCGAGGCGGGCAGATCACCTGAGGTCAGGAGTTCAAGACCAGCCTGGTCAACATGGTGAAACCCCATCTCTACTAAAAATACAAAAATTAGCCAGGCGTGGTGATGCATGATATAGTCCCAGCTAATCGGGAGACTGAGGCAGGAGAATCTCTTAAACCTGGGAGGTGGACGTTGCAGTGAGCTGAGATCGCACCGTGGCACTCCAGCCTGGGTGATAGAGAGACTCCATCTCAAAAAAAAAAAAAAAAGTTTATTAGCAAGTATAAATGTATCAGAACTTAACAGGTCAATTTCTTGTATTATTGTGAGACTAAAAAAAATTGGGAAAAAAGGAAAGCTTTGAAGAGAAAAAAATGGGTAGCCATCAGAATCATTTTGTGAAAGGAACAAATACTAATAAGTTAATCTATTGTTCTCAACAACCTGTTATCCATAATAGGAAAGGAATCCAGTATGTGCATGACTAAGTTAACTACTCAAAACTTTCAAAACCAGAAGCCAAAAGAAGTTATAGTTTATTTTAAGCAATATCCACAAAACCTAATATAGTCCACTTCTGAGTAATCATTTAATTATGGTATTCTATCATTTTATTTTTAAAAAATATGCTGAGTACATAAACATGACTAAAATATCAACACATTCTTTCTTCCTACACATAACTATTAATCTTAAATGTTCCAAGAGAAGATGTTTAAAAAGTAACCCTTTGCAGAACTAGCCCTTCTCTCTGGAGCTGTAGGCCTCTCTTCTTCCCAGCCCCCTCCTTTTCTTTTCTTTTATCTTACTCGTCACCTTGCAGTCATGAGTATTGTAGCATGTAGGAGTGGACTGCTGAGAGAAGGGAAGAAGGATGCATTTTGCATTCACTTGTACATCAGCCTTGAAGCCTGGCTGGCGGCAATATTGTGGACAATAGATCTTTCAAACAAATAGACCCTTGTCTGTTCCTTCCTTCTGTAATTGTTGGCAGAGTTCTTTGTTATGTGTCTGGTTTCTTGAAACTTTGAATGAATAAACTAGGACACGGGATTAATGTAAAGAACTGGCATCTTTGCTGACTTATTCAACAGACTGTGTGTACATAGAAAAGAGAAATAAGCACTTTCAGAAGTGTTGTCTGCACATGCCTGGGATTTTACAAAATTTAAACAATGTGAAATGCAGTACCTTGAAAAAAGCCAGGCTAGTCTCTGGACTCTGTAGTTTACTTTCTAAATAAAAAATATCCTATTGACCATAAGCAAATGAACAATTCACCTGTTAGCATATGGACCAAATATAGGCCAAGATATGTAGTGGTAGAGTTACAAGTAAATTTTTTGATGTGAAGTGTCATAGAATTTACAGCCAAATGAAGTGAGTACCTCTTTGTAGCAGGGTAATGATGAAAAAGATTAGGCAAAGTTTAAAGTTGAGACGCAGTTTTCCTACCTGGAGAGAATGGACATTGTTACCTAAAATTCACATTGTACAATGGAGTGATACATGAGTTGTTCACAGTAGACCGACCTTTCTCAGCCTCAGCTCTGTTGACATTTTCAAATAACAACTTGCTGTTAGGGACTGTTCTGCACATTGTAGGATGTTTAGCACCATTCCTATCTTATGCCTGCTAGATACCAGCAGCACTCCCCTTCCAATTGTGCAAATAAAAAATGTCTCCAGACATTGCCAAATGTCCTCTGGAAGTCAAAAAAGCATTCCTGGTTGAGAATCATTGTACTAGACCAAGGAATGGATCATATTGACCAGAAGGAAGTTGTATATTATTAAAAAAAATTATCCAACTCCAGAAGAAGTATACTGGGGCAGTCTAACTTGGGGACCTTTTGAATGTCTCCACCATGGGAACAAAGGCTAAGTAAAGCAGTGGCCCATTGCTCAGTCCAACAGCACTCCTCCATCAATTACCCCCTCTTGACTTTTTGTGTCTTTAGTCTCTTAATCGGCCTCGACTTCTTTTCCTTGACCTTTAAATTGTCTCCTTTATCCTAAAGCAAATCAAAATTACTCCTGATAATGCAAAGGTATAAAATTACTATGATGTCTTCACATCACTACTAACTTTTTTGAAAAGTAGTCTTCATTCTCTACCTCTACTTCCTCACTGTCTACTTTCTGGAATACATCCCAGTTTGGTTTTTTCCCCCTATGTCACTACTTAAAGTGGCTGCCCAAATGCTACAATCCAACTTCTCAATGATCACATTAACTGAACTTTTTGTGTACTTATCTTTGACTTCCATGCAACTTTTGATACTCTTAATCAATGGTTCTGAAACTTTTTTTGTGCATCAGGATCACTGGTGAGTTATTAATAGTTAAAATACAGATTTCTGAATTCAACACCCAGAGTTCCTAATTCCGTCGGGCTAGGATGTAGACTGAGGATTTGCATTTCTAACGAGTTCCCAGATACTGTCCACGCTGCTAGTCTGGGGGATCACAAATCAAGAGCCATGCCTTGATTATTCTCTTCTTGAGTGCTTCAGTTGACTTTTACAATACCATAGTTTCCTGATCTTGACGCTTAATGACATTTGTAGTCACATTTTCTGGTTTCTTCTACCCTTTTTCTCTAAAACAGGGCAATGTTGCCCCTCAGAGAACATTGGTCAATGTCTGGAGATGTGTTTAGTTATCACAAATAACTAGGAGGAGGGGAAGAAGGAAGAGAAGAGGGTCCACTGCTACTGATGTCTAGTGGGTAGAGGCCAGGGGTGCTGCTAAACATCCTACAGGGCACAGGACAGTATTATTCACAGGACAAAGTATTATTCGTCTCAATATGTGAATACTGCCAAGATAGAGAAACACTGCTCTGGATGCAGGCATTCTCTCCAAGTAGATATATATTCTTTTTTTTTGTTATGAGACAGGGTCTCACTCTGTCACCTAGGCTAGAGTGCAGTAGCACAATCATAGCTCACTGCAGCCTCCAGGAATCGAGACCTGTTGATATTTTAGTCATGTTTATGTACTCAGCATATTTTTTTAAAATAATATGATAAAATACCATAATTAAATGATTACTCAAAAGTGGTCTACTATATTAGGTTTTGTGTATATTACTTAAAATAAACTATCACTTCTTTAGGCTTCTGGTTTTGAAAGTTTTGAGTAGTTAACTTAGTCATGCACATACTGGATTCCTTTCCTATTATGGATAACAGGTTGTTGAGAACAACCTGGTCAATATTTTGGAGAGATGAGGACTTGCTATGTTGCTCAGGCTGGAATCAAACTCCTGGGCTCAAGCGATGCTCCCACCTCAGTCTCCCAAAGTGCTGAGATTACAGGTGTGAGCCATGGCACCCAGCAAAGAATGGCCTTTTTATCTTCTCTTCAGTCTATACCTCTCTCTTGTCGACCTCAGACATGCCCAGCACTTCAACTCTCACACGTCTCTGGAAATGACTCCCAGAGGTATTATCTTTAAATACGACATTACTCTTGGGTCTGGCCTGAATTTGCAACTGCCTGATAAATATAAGCTTAATGAGCCACCGGCATCTTAAGTTTAAGATGCGCAAACTAGGCCAGGCACGGTGGCTCACGCCTGTAATCCCAGCACTTTGGGAGGCCACAGAGGGCGAATCACCTGAGGTCAGGATTTTGAGACCAGCCTGACCAACATGGAGAAACCCCGTCTCTACTAAAAATACAAAATTAGACAGACGTGGTGGCACATGCCTGTAATCCCAGCTACTTGGGAGGCTGAGGCAGGAGAATCGCTTGAACCTGGGAGACGGAGGCTGCGGTCAGCCGAGATTGCGCCATTGCACTCCAGCCTGGGCAAGAAGAACGAAACTCTGTCTCAAAAAAAAAAAAAAAAGAAAAAAAGCCCAAACTAAACATATCCTTCCAGTAAGAGAATCCTTTATTGCCAGTAATGGTAATTATTTGATAAGGTGTGTCTCTACCCCCTTTTGACCTTCATAACTTGTAAAAATGGTACAAGATGATTCTTTTAAGAAAAGTATAAAATCACATGTATGGTTCAGAAATACCACTCTGGCAGGAATTTGAGGAGGTGACAGATATTCAAGAAAATTGAAAGAGAAACTTTCCATTCCATGTGAGATTATCTAACTTTTGATTGGCCAGGGAGAAATGTGTCTTATTATTCCAAGTGAAAGTAAATGTATCTGCCTGCCTAGATCTCAGCCTAGTATTGATTGGAGAAAATACTGATCTGATGCTTTATGCTTCGAGAAAGAAAGCATATTGAGTATATGATCTTCTCACACATATGATCAGTCTTTTCATTAGATTTGTTTTACCGTGATGTATTTTGTTCCTCAATAGAATGCCATGTATATGATTGTTACTGGTACTCATAGTAAATCTAATAATATCCACCATTTTCAGAGCACTTACTAAGTGTCAGAACAAGTGCTTTGCATGCCATCTTATGTATACTAAGCCTATGGGGTAGATTTTATTATTGTACCCATTATGCACCCATGGAAGCTAAAGACTAGAGAGAATGAGGGATACACGCAAGGTCACCTAGATCACAACTGGTATAATTAGGATTTGAAGACAGGCTGTTTGACACCTAAGCTGATACTTCCAAAGACTATTCCAATAGCACAAAATTCAATTGCTGTGGGGACATGGTTCTCAGAACCTGGTCTTCTTGAATCACTAGACCGATCCTCCTCAGAATTTAAGACCTGGGTGGAAAGGGAAAGACCATCCAGCTCACCCCATGTGCCTCTCAGGAATGGTGGGGGTTGTCCTCCATTACTGAAAGAAGCAGTACAGCCGGCTAATGGATGGAGACACAGGGGAGAGATTTTCTTTGTGGGAGTTCATTACAGAGGCATCTGCAGACCTCTAACTCTCTCCTGCATGCCCTTTCTCTTTCATAGCTTCCATCTCTAAGCTGTAATGGATGCAAAATTACTGCAGCATTTTGTTCTGCCGGGCTGACCCCATTACGCATACACCACAGTCATAAAGCTCTGGCTTAGTTACTGTTTGCATGTTCAAGACTACTCTGAGGCAGGGAGGTGTGAAGTTTGGCTACATTTTCAAACAGAGTGGATGCCTTCTTCATTTTAAAAACAAGGAATCCAGCCTCCTTTCAGAGTGAATATTGTTTTGATTACTGCTGGACTAATCCATACTTATTTACCCCTTAATGATGATGTTTCTCTGGTGTGTGAAGGGTCTTTAAATAAATGTTAGGGCAGTGATGCCAGGAAGTCATCATTTCACATGCATTAGTTGCAGAAGTTTGGGAGACTTCATTTCCACCCCAACATCCTGTTGTCTTGATAATATTTTATTAAGACATAGCAAAAGATATAGCAGGGTCGTTAGATAATGGTTAATAAAATATAAGAGTTTGGAAAGGTAGTGATTCTCAAAAGTTATTCTCAGTCTTCCTTCTTCTCCATGCCTTGTCAAAGATTTCTGCAACTTTCATCTCACCACATCTGGTGAGAATACTTATCAGAGAAAGTGAGCAAACTGGTTTTGGTAATAATTGACATACCTTTATCTACTAGGAGATTCTGATTTTAATTCATTCAGTAAAAAAATATTCTGTTTGTTCTATGCACATTTCTAACACTTGAGACATATTCAAGAATAAGACACACATAGTCCTTGTCCTACAGCTTACATTCTGGTAATATTTGTCAGAAAGCAGTCACATGATTATGAAAAGGTTACCCAAATTTCTGTATATTCTATAGTTTATCCTATATCTTCTTCCACTATTTCACACATTTCATAAAAGATCTCAACATATAAATATTGCTTTTAGCCTGTGATATTGTCTCCATGGAGGGAAGGACTCAGATGGAAATAAGGTATCACAGAAGGGTGCAGAGTGCCTTTTCTTTTAAAGTAATTGCAAAAATAGGAGTTATATTGGTTATCAGAACATGTTTGTATTTCATTATTAAGCTGGTAAAAAGAACCATGGATATATGGACATGTTCTGGATCCTAGATACTTAATAGAAATGATCACTAGCTGTCCCTAAAGGATTTTTATTATACTTCCTAAAAGCATGGACTATCTCTTCTGAGGTATGCCCCCCAAAATGTCAGTAGCAATAAATTTGTAAGAACATTTTTAAGGCAGCACAGACAAGTGTGATCGGTAGAAGTCATGGTGAGTGGGAGTGAGGAAGGGCTAGTAGCAAACAAGAAAAAGAAAAGAAAAAAAAGCATTTTCAGTCTTTGGCAGCACTTCTGTCTCTTCCAGCATTTGTCAGAATCCAGTTATTAACCTGTCAGCCTCAGACAGATTGAAGGAGACACCACCTTTCAAGGTGAGCCCTTAAGAAAAGAAAAATAAGAAACAGTCATTGTTGGGGTTGACAGAGACATGATCCCACCAAGGCCTGGGCTATGCTTGGAGAGGAAATGATACTCAAGCCTGAGTGTGTGCTTAGGGGTCAAGAGATTAGGCTTAGGGGAGTAGGGATATGGAAGTAGTGATAGCAGTGAATAAGGAAAGCTATCTGTTTGAATTTGCTTGTGCAAAGAGGCAGAACCATTTCAAAGATACAGGGTGCAGATTTTAGTGAAGATGTTAGAGCTGACCCCTGCTGGGACTGTGGCATTTCAGTAGAGGAATGGTGAATCCCTTCCCAGTGGGGAACACACATCATCCACATACATGAGGGAAAAAAAAAAAAAAAAGGAATGACTCTTTTTATCAACAAAAGCATGCCCTTATCTATGATTGTGGTGTCATTTTCTTTTAACAAACAAGGATAGTTTTTAACCTTAGTTTGCTCACAAAAGCTTCAGCAAAAAACAAGGGACATCAAATATTTCTGGATTTCCATGTTCTGGGCACATAGTAGGGCTGTGCCTTCTGAAACTTCCTGTATAGAATGGAGCCACATGATCATTTGCAATCAATGAGCTGTGAAGGGGAATGGCATGTGTTCCTTACAGGCCAAGCATTTAAGTGTTGATGTGAGAGTCCTCAGAGCACTTTTTTTTCTTTTGCCTTTGTCATGGTGCCATGGCTACCAGCAACTTTCAGACAGTGGCCATTGCATCAACCTCAACCCTGAAGTGAGGAACCGTGGCAACATGCAGGCAAGCCTCAAGCCCGCCCACAGTAGACAAACATATACCTTTATTGTTATAAACCATTTTGGACTTGTTTGTTACTGCAGCATAATCTGGCTCTTATAGTGGACACATTTGGTTAGATACAAGTGTAAGAAGTTTTATTTTCCTTGATGAATAGTGGGAAAGTGTGTATATAATATTGTAAACCTTTTTTAGCACCCAAATTAACACCCCTATGTACCCAAAGTCCTATATCTGGGCTGCAGTATCCCCAAAGACATTTTGTTTGTTTTATTTTAGTCCTGTAAGAATTAAAGTCAACTTTTTAAAAAAATGCAGTGCTAAGAGAGACACGACAAAATTGAGACAATTTATTAGCGGATTCTTTCTTTTCTGAGGGGTCTTTTTGCATGTAGGAGCAGTCATTACCATCTGTAAGGTGTCTAAAGCTCAATTTATTTAAATCATATATCTGAAGACCAAAACTTTTAAAACCCAAATTTTGTTTTTAAAACTTTATAAAAGATGGTAAATTCCTCTTCAAAATTTAAACTTCAACTCCAAATTTAGTATGGGTGATTTCTCATAACATTTCAAATACCTTTTAAAATACATACCTTTTATACTTAAACTTAAATCTATAGTAAATTATGAGTTTGGTTCATTTTATCATTATATCTCTATGTGTTTTTGTATTTTCTGAGGATTATATTAGATTAATACCAATGAATCTATTAAATAGTTGTTGCTTCTCTAATATGAATCAAATCTAAGCTGCTGATCAGGCTGAGGTGTTGTTTTTAAATCATTAAATTTATTTATTGTGTCAAGACATAATTGCCTTTCCCAAAAAGTCTAAATGTTTTCCTATAATTTGCTGTCTCTCCACAAGTAATACATTTTTAAAAGCCATACTTGGTGAGATTATATGATCCTTGTTCATTATTAAATATTGCCTTTTATTTAACACTATTAAAAAGATATATTCTTATAAACAGCTTATTTAAAGTCAGGAACCATCTGGAAGTTTCATCTCCCAAAAGATGAGATGAATCCAAATAGTTCTTTCTCTTTCTAGCATGTCAAACTAATGTGTCATCCTAGAATGCATCTCTGAGCCCCATTTCACTAGGTTATTAGGTGTGAAGCCCAGATCTAGACCAAGCCTGTCTGCTCTTGGTAAGCCTCTTTCTTTTTTTCATTTTTTCTAATACTGTTTGATGTATTTCCTGTTATTTTTATTTACTGTTTTCTACTTATCCAATAGTAACATGGCCATGCCTATACTTTATTACTTTGTAAACAAGTACCTAAGTAACAGCTAAACTAAAACATACATGTTCATATATTTTAGCATTCCCCTAATCATTGAAATCAATAACAATTCAATATACTCTATTGTATTCATATTTATTTTATATTACCACTATGTTTTATGTAATAATATTCTGTATATTAACTTTTCTGAGCATCACTATGACTTTTTCACAAACTTAGCTTGTTTTAATCAACAGTAAAAATGAAGAGTGATGTTGTTGTTAGCAATCTTATTTAGTGTTCAAATTATTATCAAATGGCCAGCGAGATCTCTTTTAAATGGGCTCCTTATTCTTTCAGCACTTTATTTGATATTTGTGGCCACATACTTGTATTTTGCAATAAAAAAAAATTTAGATTCTTTGCAATTATTTTCTTCCGCTAAGCAGAAAATCAACAAAATTCCAGAGAACCTTGTGCAAATGAGTGTTGATTGTGGCCATGGTGCACCTGCACTTTAAGTAATAACAAAGCTGAAAAATATATTTCTTTTAGAGGTCATGAGTTCACACTGAGAAGTGTGAACTCCTCATGAGTTCCATGAGAAGGGCATAACTTTAGGTAATTTCTTGTAAGCTCATTGCCACTATGTAAACCAGCTTATGATTCTTATCTAGTTGGTCAGTATACTATAAATATCAGTGAATATTCAGAATAGAAGCTGATAGAAAAATCAAACCATAGAAAAGCAGGGAGAGTGTGAGAATATATTCACCATGTGTACATATATGCCCCTAAACAAAAGCCTGAAAGTATCTACTCTAAAATTGATTTATCCTCCTCACTATCCTTTTTAAATTTTTTATATTATTCACCTTTTCTTCTTTGAACATATTTTATTTTTGTAATGAGAATGCAAAGATGTTAAATTTTTTAAATAACTAAAGAAACCGTTCCAGCAGGAAATAGCACTATGTGTTGTTCAACATACATAGTGAATCTTGCATACACAGCATATTAATAAAATCTCAAAAATTGCTTACTCTTTACAAGTAGGAGATATTTTGCTTTTTGTGTCCATACTTTCCCTTTAGAATGAGGAGGATTCTAAGTAATCTTATTGTATCACATTTCTACTTCATTGCATTGCTCTCTAGGGGGGAAATTAACAGCAGAAGACTTGTCACTTGAGTTCTATTCATGACCACTCTACTCTGAGCATTACAGATGGAATGCAGCAAAGAGGAGATACAATTCTAGGGGAATATGGGCCCATAGATCTTTCAAAACAAAGAAGAAAAGCTTTCTCACAATTGCTATAGCAAATAATGCTTTCCACTGCTTTAGAGTCATCACTGTAAGAACATTTGATCCACAAGTGAAGAACAGGACTATATTCCATGTGGCTTTTCAAGGCGACTGAGAGCACCTGCTCCCTAGAATCCTTCAGCCACATTGATATGTGTGTCATAAAACTGTGAGATCATGATCCCATTGATGTGATATGAATCAAGAAAGCCATATGCTCTTTGCTGGTATAAATGATAGCTGCATGAGGGCTTACCAATAAGTGAGGAATGAAATTTGAATTTTGGAAAGAAGTTTGTAGCTACATGAATACCTTGCAGCCTCTCTTTTCAATAGTCTCAACATTTTTACTGCCATGCGATTTCTTCTATAGCTCCATTTATATCCAACTTAAATTTCACTCTAAACATTTTCATTTTTTATTTTTTATTAGACAATTCTCTTTTGATTATCTCGTTTTATAAAATGGCACATGGGTTTATCACTTGGAGACAAAGAAGCAATACCCTATATGCTGTGTGTGAACTGAGCAATACGTTCAGTGACCATTAACTGACAGACTTCACAAGAACTCATGAGATTGGTCAATGATCACGAAGTGCATCTGTAATTCATGTAGCTAATGTGGACTGAAGAACTAAGAGCAAAACATACACTTCGTGCAAATACCCACAGTTAATATAGCATAGAAACAGAAATTTAAGCTCTGTTGTTAGAAGGCTGGAGTTATGAACCAAACCATAGTAACTAAAATTCATGCATATTACAACCAAGCAAAATGCAGACTACCTGTGTGTATATGTACATTTAGTATTTTTTTGTTTGTTTGTTTTTAACTTTGTAGCTTCAGCACACCATGCCACAAACTTTGTGCCTTATAATACCTTGGCTGAATATCTTCTCAGAGGATGATCATTCACTTTTACCTTTGTTTGCCAACTTATTCCACTGCGGCTCTTTTTGTCTTGCAATGCATTCTGTGTACTGGTGAAGAAGTTTTGACCACGAATAGCTGACAAATATGTGCAGGTGGTCATGCACAGAAGCAGAAAGAAAATTCCTCTGTGGTTGTTAACGTGAAGGTTTTCCAGGGGCTTGGGGCACTGGTTAAGGAAACAGATTAATGAGCAGCAAACAGGAATTGATGGGAGTCCTCTGACATTTTGAGGATATCCCTACACATCACTGCAGGCTGAGGGAAGCTTGGCTGAAAGAAACTGGCCAGAGGCATGTTCTGACTTTGGCTGACTTGGAAAGAATGGCAGTGCTATTAACAATGTACACATAGTGGGAGAATTTCCTCTCAGTGGAATGATGCTTTAATGGTCCCATATAATGCTAATGCCATTAGCACTCTCATTTCCAGATACTACATGGGATACATAAGTAGAAGAGTTAGGAATCGTTTTCTGAAAAGACATTCTAATATTATTTGGATATTAAATAAAAATAAATACCTCTGTTAAGATATTCAGACCCAGTATTAGTGTAAGTGGGTACAGTAGAAAGAGGCCTTAACTTGGAATATGTAGTGATTAGGTTTAACTCACAGCCCTGCCAATTATTAGCTGTGTTTGCCCATTCATTTATTCATACATTTGTATACATTCTTTTATTTTCTTACAAATCTTTACCAAGTGCCTATTACGTGCCAGATCCCACACCAGGCTTTACGCAGTCAGGGTCAAATCACTTCACCTCTTCAAGTTTCTCACCTGTAAAATTCTGAGACTTTTTTGAAATCTATTTTTTAAAAAATACATACTTGATTCAAACAGCAGCTTTATAATTTGAAAACCTCTATTTTACTCCTGTTTTTCTTTGGAGGCCAAAGGTGACTCTAAATAATTTCATGAAAGTAATGAAAATATAATCTTTAGTGATTAACTTCAGAATTAAGAGAGTAAAAAGTATTTTTCAATTCATCTTCAGCTTATGCCATCACCTCAGCAAGAACAATGAGTGTGCAACAATTCACTGTTTTGTAGGATGCTAATTAGAGGGTAGACTCCTCATGGAAAAAGCCCAAGCCTCTGGTTGACTCCTGTCCATCCAGATGGAGCTACAATGAAATGATTTTCTATGGCTGTGTGTGCGTGTGTGTGTGCGCGCGTGTGTGCGTGCGCGCACACACACACACAAGCCTGGGAAGGAAGAGCCCCCCACTCTGTCCATTATTCAACTCAATGTTTACTGTCAAGATGAGTTTTCCAATTTCCATTGTTTCCCCTAAATTGAGTCTCTCACATAGAGTTTAGAGCTGGTATGTCTGCTAGGAAATAGCTATATAATAAAACATCCATATAATAGCACTATAATTCATCCAGTTATTCATTCCTTCCCTGAAAAATAGGACCTAAAATGCATCATTGTGTGTAGGTTTCAATTAAATTCAGAGGACAGTTATTGACTGACTACTGCATGCAAGCTGGCTGGACTGAGAGTATTGAGATGGATAAGAAACTGTCCCCTCTCAAGGAGCTTAAAATCTAGAGGAAAGAGAGGTGTATAAAATATATAATTGAAAATGTTTGCTGTAATTTCTAAGAGAACACACCTGGGGATGTGAAAATGGACAGAAGGGAGGATTTAGCTCTATCTTGGAGGCTGGGATATAAGTCAGGGAAAGCATTTCAGTGGAGATTACGCTTAAAGTGGGAGTACTGTATACATGAATAAGCAGAGCAGGCCAGGTAAGCAAAGTTGTGGTTGGGGAAAGATGCATTCCAGACAGCCAGAATGTTTTGCCTCATTGGAAGATTGTTTTTCTCACCCTTAGCACCCTCTGCTTATTCGTCTCTTTGTTTTTAACCATTTCTAAGTTGTATCTTAAGACTCTAATCAATGTAATGGGATGGCTGTATCCCTCCCCACTCCATCCCATATCACACCACCGAATGAGCAACAAATCTTGGCGTCTGAAAAATGTAGCACCTGACGCCAATCAAAACTTCTGCTCACAGCTCTAATGTAGGTCTGGGGGCTTTTCTGTGTTACTTGAAACTAGTATTGATTGCATCAGCGCTCAATATAATGCCCCAGTAGTCATCCTTGCTGCTTTAGCTGAGGAACAAAAGGTAAAATCAAGCTAAATGAAATGAGGTAAATGTAGGACCAGAAAAACCAGAAGTCTTCATTGCCTGCTCTCAGGCATCATCAAAACAAAAGGCTCTCTGGCTGGCAAGGTCAGTAAGGGAGACGAGAGAGGATAGGAATACTCAGAGACAATATGTTGCCCTGCTAAGAGCAGGTCATGGTCCTTAATGTAAGCCATGTCATTTGCTTACAGTCTTTATTATTTAATCTCTGACAGATGGAAATTGGTTGAGAACAGGTAATGGTACAGAGTCTTCTGTGTGTGCTTGCATGCCAGTGAGATCTACTGGGAGAATTAACTTCTACTCTCCCAGCACAATCGGTGGTCATTTTGAGTGACCACATCATTTATCTCCAAACCAGGACACCTTGGAGAACACAAGAGGATACTGTTAAATAAACGTGAGTGTATAATAAACACACAGTGGGACTTCCCCAGGCAAACAGGGACTCTTAGGGGATGTATGATCACCTTAACATGTTTTCTGTCTGGAGGGAAATTTCCAAGGAGAAATATAAGTAATACCTGGAACATGACTCTAGAGGTAGGCTAAGACTGCAGGGTATTAATCAATGTATAAGTTTATAAGTTTATAAGCATGTGAAAACTTCAAATTTCAGCAATGATTCTCTAAATTTTTTGCTGAGACAGATAAAATAGCTGTTTTTTTTTCTCACACAGAGTACATTCTCATAGGAATATCTGAATTACATGCAGTTCCTAGAAAGCAAGCTATAATTACATTATTCAAGAAAACACTGCAGTTCAGGCTAATGTTTTTGTATATTTGTTTTGTACATTTTGTACATGTTTTTGTAATGTGTTTATACATATGTACATAGAAGGCTTTACATTTGGTGATCAGCATTTAAATTATTTACGTACTTAAACTATTACAAATACACTACTTGGCACACTCTTTCCCCAGATCTTCATCTGGCTGTCCCTTTTCATCTTCTAGATCTCGACTCAACATCTCCTTCTTAGGCCATTTCTGACCACTATAACTGATCCCTGTCACGTTCTATCATAATGTCCTTTTGCCATTTTCTTAGCACTTATTAGTGTATAAAATTATCTTCTGTATTTAGCTGTGAGCTTTCCTCACTAGAATGAAAGAAATTATGGACAATAGTTCCACCTACCTTGTTCAGTAGTACACCTCCAGCACTTTGAAACCTGTGGGGAAACAACAGGTACTCAACAGATAGTTGTTCATTGGATGGACTGATGGGAAATAGGCCATCTTGTCTTTATTGAACAACAACTTTTGCAGGAAGCATTCTCCTCCCTTCATGATTTTTGTGCATAGGTAAGCACCTGCTTAGACAACTCCAGTTCCTGCTCTCACACTTCACCACTGGATTGTTGCAATGCAGTCTTAAATAGCCCTCGAATATGGACTCAACCACATCTTGCAACAAGATTGTCATCAGCACCCCTTTCACTATGCTTGGCCTCTATATACTTTACTCTTAGCCTTCTCCTGAATTAGTCTTAGCCCAGTAACATCTTGTGCTGATGTCAGTCTTCTGGTTGACCAAGTAAACGTATTTTTTCATTTCCTCTTTTTTTGCTCGTCTTTTTCATCTCTCGCTGATGATTGTCAACTGCAATGACACCGTACTTTTATACACTGCATGATGTATACTTACTCAGAATTTTTCTTATTGCCAAATAAATTATTTCATACGCTTATGCAACTCCTTTCGTTAAAAGCATGTTTTCTACTTTGTTCTCATTATTAACAGAACTATTTTTTCAGTTATCTTACTCATTGCTTTTGCACTGATTGGACATCACAGCATTCAAAATGTTCACAAAGTACCTAAAAAATTGAACACAGAGGCCTCTGTGGTTAGGGTGACTGAAAAACTTAACTGGATTTTTAAGTCAGTCTAATTTTAATTAACTTAAACTTTTTTTTTCCATAGTTCAGAGCATTTATTTATTTTTTTAAATTTATTATTATTATACTTTAAGTTTTAGGGTACATGTGCACAATGTGCAGGTTAGTTACCTATGTATACATGTGCCGTGCTGGTGCGCTGCACCCACTAACTCGTCATCTAGCATTAGGTATATCTCCCAATGCTATCCCTCCCCCCCGCCCCACCCCACGACCGTCCCCAGAGTGTGATGTTCCCCTTCCTGTGTCCATGTGTTCTCATTGTTCAATTCCCACCTATGAGTGAGAATATGCGGTGTTTGGTTTTTTGTTCTTGCGATAGTTTACTGAGAATGATGATTTCCAATTTCATCCATGTCCCTACAAAGGACATGAACTCATCATTTTTTATGGCTGCATAGTGTTCCATGGTCTATGTGTGCCACATTTTCTTAATCCAGTCTATCATTGTTGGACATTTGGGTTGGTTCCAAGTCTTTGCTGTTGTGAATAATGCCGCAATAAACATACGTGTGCATGTGTCTTTATAGCAGCATGATTTATAGTCCTTTGGGTATATACCCAGTAATGGGATGGCTGGGTCAAATGGTATTTCTAGTTCTGGATCCCTGAGGAATCGCCACACTGACTTCCACAATGGTTGAACTAGTTTACAGTCCCACCAACAGTGTAAAAGTCTTCCTATTTCTCCACATCCTCTCCAGCACCTGTTGTTTCCTGACTTTTTAATGATTGCCATTGTAACTGGTGTGAGATGGTATCTCATTGTGGTTTTGATTTGCATTTCTCTGTTGGCCAGTGATGGTGAGCATTTTTTCATGTGTTTTTTGGCTGCATAAATGTCTTCTTTTGAGAAGTGTCTGTTCATGTCCTTTGCCCACTTTTTGATGGGATTGTTTGTTTTTTTCTTGTAAATTTGTTTGAGTTCATTGTAGATTCTGGATATTAGCCCTTTGTCAGATGAGTAGGTTGCGAAAATTTTCTCCCATTTTGTGGGTTGCCCGTTCACTCTGATCGTAGTTTCTTTTGCTGTGCAGAAGCTCTTTAGTTTAATTAGATCCCATTTGTCAATTTTGGCTTTGGTTGCCATTGCTTTTGGTGTTTTAGACATGAAGTCCTCACCCATGCCTATGTCCTGAATGGTAATACCTAGGTTTTCTTCTAGGGTTTTTATGGTTTTAGTTCTAACGTTTAAGTCTTTAATCCATCTTGAATTGATTTTTGTATAAGGTGTAAGGAAGGGATCCAGTTTCAGCTTTCTACATATGGCTAGCCAGTTTTCCCAGCACCATTTATTAAACAGGGAATCCTTTCCCCATTGCTTGTTTTTCTCAGGTTTGTCAAAAATCAGATAGTTGTAGATATGCGGCGTTATTTCTGAGGGCTCTGTTCTGTTCCATTGATCTATAACTCTGTTTTGGTACCAGTACCATGCTGTTTTGGTTACCTTAGGCTTGTAGTATAGTTTGAAGTCAGGTAGTGTGATGCCTCCAGCTTTGTTCTTTTGGCTTAGGATTGACTTGGCGATGCAGGCTCTTTTTTGGTTCCATATGAACTTTAAAGTAGTTTTTTCCAATTCTGTGAAGAAAGTCATTGGTAGCTTTATGGGGATGGTATTGAATCTGTAAATTACCTTGGGCAGTATGGCCATTTTCACGATATTGATTCTTCCTACCGATGAGCATGGAATGTTCTTCCATTTGTTTGTATCCTCTTTTATTTCCTTGAGCAGTGGTTTGTAGTTCTCCTTGAAGAGGTCCTTCACATCCCTTGTAAGTTGGATTCCTAAGTATTTTATTCTCTTTGAAGCAATTGTGAATGGGAGTTCACTCATGATTTGGCTCTCTGTTTGTCTGTTGTTGGTGTATAAGAATGCTTGTGATTTTTGTACATTGATTTTGTATCCTGAGACTTTGCTGAAGTTGCTTATCAGCTGAAGGAGATTTTGGGCTGAGACAGTGGGGTTTTCTAGATATACAATCATGTCATCTGCAAACAGGGACAATTTGACTTCCTCTTTTCCTAATTGAATACCCTTTATTTCCTTCTCCTGCCTAATTGCCCTGGCCAGAACTTCCAACACTATGTTGAATAGGAGTGGTGAGAGAGGGCATCCCTGTCTTGTGCCAGTTTTCAAAGGGAATGCTTCCAGTTTTTGCCCATTCAGTATGATATTGGCTGTGGGTTTGTCATAGATAGCTCTTATTATTTTGAGATACGTCCCATCAATACCTAATTTATTGAGAGTTTTTAGCATGAAGCGTTGTTGAATTTTGTCAAAGGCCTTTTCTGCATCTATTGAGATAATCATGTGGTTTTTGTCTTTGGTTCTGTTTATATGCTGGATTACATTTATTGATTTGTGTATATTGAACCAGCCTTGTATCCCAGGGATGAAGCCCACTTGATCATGGTGGATAAGCTTTTTGATGTGCTGCTGGATTCGGTTTGCCAGTATTTTATTGAGGATTTTTGCATCAATGTTCATCAAGGATATTGGTCTAAAATTCTCTTTTTTGATTGTGTCTCTGCTGGGCTTTGGTATCAGGATGATGCTGGCCTCATAAAATGAGTTAGGGAGGATTCCCTCTTTTTCTATTGATTGGAATAGTTTCAGAAGGAATGGTACCAATTCCTCCTTGTACCTCTGGTAGAATTCGGCTGTGAATCCATCTGGTCCTGGACTCTTTTTGGTTGGTAAGCTATTGATTATTGCCACAATTTCAGCTCCTGTTATTGGTCTATTCAGAGATTCAACTTCTTCCTGGTTTAGTCTTGGGAGAGTGTATGTGTCGAGGAATTTATCCATTTCTTCTAGATTTTCTAGTTTATTTGCATAGAAGTGTTTGTAGTATTCTCTGATGGTAGTTTGTATTTCTGTGGGATCGGTGGAGATATCCCCTTTATCATTTTTTATTGCGTCTATTTGATTCTTCTCTCTTTTTTTCTTTATTAATCTTGCTAGCAGTCTATCAATTTTGTTGATCCTTTCAAAAAACGAGCTCCTGGATTCATTAATTTTTTGGAGGGTTTTTTGTGTCTCTATTTCCTTCAGTTCTGCTCTGATTTTAGTTATTTCTTGCCTTCTTCTAGCTTTTGAATGTGTTTGCTCTTGCTTTTCTAGTTCTTTTAATTGTGATGTTAGGGTGTCAATTTTGGATCTTTCCTGCTTTCTCTTGTGGGCATTTAGTGCTATAAATTTCCCTCTACACACTGCTTTGAATGCGTCCCAGAGATTCTGGTATGTTGTGTCTTTGTTCTCGTTGGTTTCAAAGAACATGTTTATTTCTGCCTTCATTTCGTTATGTACCCAGTAGTCATTCAGGAGCAGATTGTTCAGTTTCCATGTAGTTGAGCGGTTTTGAGTGAGATTCTTAATCCTGAGTTCTAGTTTGATTGCACTGTGGTCTGAGAGATAGTTTGTTATAATTTCTGTTCTTTTACATTTGCTGAGGAGAGCTTTACTTCCAAGTATGTGGTCAATTTTGGAATAGGTGTGGTGTGGTGCTGAAAAAAATGTCTATTCTGTTGATTTGGGGTGGAGAGTTCTGTAGATGTCTATTAGGTCCGCTTGGTGCAGAGCTGAGTTCAATTCCTGGGTATCCTTGTTGACTTTCTGTCTCGTTGATCTGTCTAATGTTGACAGTGGGGTGTTAAAGTCTCCCATTATTATTGTGTGGGAGTCTAAGTCTCTTTGTAGGTCACTCAGGACTTGCTTTATGAATCTGGGTGCTCCTGTATTGGGTGCATATATATTTAGGATAGTTAGCTCTTCTTGTTGAATTGATCCCTTTACCATTATGTAATGGCCTTCTTTGTCTCTTTTGATTTTTGTTGGTTTAAAGTCTGTTTTATCAGAGACTAGGATTGCAACCCCTGCCTTTTTTTGTTTTCCATTTGCTTGGTAGATCTTCCTTCATCCTATTATTTTGAGCCTATGTGTGTCTCTGCACGTGAGATGGGTTTCCTGAATACAGCACACTGATGGGTCTTGACTCTTTATCCAATTTGCCAGTCTGTGTCTTTTAATTGGAGCATTTAGTCCATTTACATTTAAAGTTAATATTGTTATGTGTGAATTTGATCCTGTCATTATGATGTTAGCTCGTTATTTTGTTCATTAGTTGATGCAGTTTCTTCCTAGTCTCGATGGTCTTTACATTTTGGCATGATTTTGCAGCGGCTGGTATCAGTTGTTCCTTTCCATGTTTAGCACTTCCTTCAGGAGCTCTTTTAGGGCAGGCCTGGTGGTGACAAAATCTCTCAGCATTTGCTTGTCTGTAACGTATTTTATTTCTCCTTCACTTATGAAGCTTAGTTTGGCTGGATATGAAATTCTGGGTTGAAAATTCTTTTCTTTAAGAATGTTGAATATTGGCCCCCACTCTCTTCTGGCTTGTAGAGTTTCTGCCGAGAGATCAGCTGTTAGTCTGATGGGCTTCCCTTTGTGGGTAACCCGACCTTTCTCTCTGGCTGCCCTTAACATTTTTTCCATCATTTCAACTTTGGTGAATCTGACAATTATGTGTCTTGGAGTTGCTCTTCTCGAGGAGTACCTTTGTGGCGTTCTCTGTATTTCCTGAATCTGAACGTTGGGCTGCCTTGCTAGATTGGGGAAGTTTTCCTGGATAATATCCTGCAGAGTGTTTTCCAACTTGGTTCCATTCTCCCCGTCACTTTCAGGTACACCAATCAGACGTAGATTTGGTCTTTTCACATAGTCCCATATTTCTTGGAGGCTTTGCTCATTTCTTTTTATTCTTTTTTCTCTAAACTTCCCTTCTCGCTTCATTTCATTCACTTCATCTTCCATCGCTGATACCCTTTCTTCCAGTTGATCGCATCGGCTCCTGAGGCTTCTGCATTCTTCACGTAGTTCTCGAGCCTTGGCTTTCAGCTCCATCAGCTCCTTTAAAAACTTCTCTGTAATGGTTATTCTAGTTATATATTCTTCTAAACTTTTTCAAGGTTTTCAACTTCTTTGCCTTTGGTTTGAATTTCCTCCCGTAGCTCAGAGTAATTTGATCGTCTGAAGCCTTCTTCTCTCAGCTCATCAAAGTCATTCTCCGTCCAGCTTTGTTCCATTGCTGGTGAGGAACTGCGTTCCTTTGGAGGAGGAGAGGTGCTCTGCTTTTTAGAGTTTCCAGTTTTTCTGCTCTGTTTTTTCCCCATCTTTGTGGTTTTATCTACTTTTGGTCTTTGATGATGGTGATGTACAGATGGGTTTTTCGTGTGGATGTCCTTTCTGTTTGTTAGTTTTCCTTCTAACAGACAGGACCCTCAGCTGCAGGTCTGTTGGAGTACCCAGCCGTGTGAGGTGTCAGTCTGCCCCTGCTGGGGGGTGCCTCCCAGTTAGGCTGCTTGGGGGTCAGGGGTCAGGGACCCATTTGAGGGGGCAGTCTGCCCGTTTTCAGATCTCTAGCTGCATGCTGGGAGAACCACTGCTCTCTTCCAAGCTGTCAGACAGGGTCATTTAAGTCTGCAGAGGTTACTGCTGTCTTTTTGTTTGTCTGTGCCCTGCCCCCAGAGGTGGAGCCTACAGAGGCAGGCAGGCCTCCTTGAGCTGTGGTTGGCTCCACCCAGTTGGAGCTTCCTGGCTGCTTTGTTTACCTAAGCAAGCCTGGGCAATGGCGAGTGCCCCTCCCCCAGCCTTGCTGCCACCTTGCAGTTTGATCTCAGACTGCTGTGCTAGCAATCAGAGAGACTCCGTGGGCGTAGGACCCTCTGAGCCAGGTGTGGGATATAATCTCCTGGTGTGCCGTTTTTTAAGCCTGTCGGAAAAACACAGTATTCGGGTGGGAGTGACCCGATTTTCCAGGTGCTGTCTGTCACCCCTTTCTTTGACTAGGAAAGGGAACTCCCTGACCCCTTGCGCTTCCCGAGTGAGGCAATGCCTCGCCCTGCTTCAGCTCACGCACGGTGCGTGCACCCACTGACCTGCGCGCACTGTCTGGCACTCCCTAGTGAGATGAACCTGGTACCTCAGATGGAAATGCAGAAATTACCCGTCTTCTGCGTTGCTCACGCTGGGAGCTGTAGACCAGAGCTGTTCCTATTCCGCCATCTTGGCTCCTCCAACTTAAACTTAACTTTAAAAATTGATATTCAATTCAGTCACTGGAAGACATAAGTATGTGTGAAACTACTCGGATATATGAATTACTTTTTCAGTTGTAAGTTTTGTGAAATGTATATACAGATAAAATATTTCTAGTAAAAACAGTGTCAGAATTGAGATGTGCTGTAAGTATAAAATACACATCAAATTTTGAAGACTTCATATGGGAAATAGGATGTAAAATAGCACATTTACAATTTTAAATTTTGATCACATTTTGAAGTAATATTTTGAATATATTGGGTTAAGTTAAATATATTATTAAAGTTAATTATACCTATTTCTCCTTTTTTGGGGTGGCTGCTAGAAAATTTAAAATTATATATTTGCTTTGCATTATATTCCTCTTGGACTGTGTTGGCCTAGATCGTTTATTAGCTTAGGCAACATAATGCAAATTTACATTAACTTTATTTGGTCTTCATCATATTAATAATAAAAGCAAAACAAAACAAGAAACCACCAGGTGCTAATAGTCACAGGCTGAGTTCCCTAGGAACAGACTCTGAGATTGAGTTTAGCATGCCACATAATTTTTAAGGAGTTCCCTGGGGAAGGAAGTAGGATTGAGCAGAGAGAAGTTGAGCTGCGATGCAGGCCCAACAATGGGCTCAGCTAACCCCACGAGGAGCTCTGACACTAACATGACCTTTCAGTTTGTCCTGAGTTGGGCCAAGATGGCAAAGTCTTTCTACCCCATCATCAACAGGTCATTGAATGCGGGTCACTCTGGGAAGAGCATGATCTTAGGCAAGATGGTGCTCTGTGTCTGAGGCCAACCCTGAAGGCGCTGGCAGCTGAAGGCTGTCTATGGACAGCACTCTTTGCAGCTCAGGTCAGGCAGTAAGTCTTTAGTTGCAGGGTGAGCTGGGCAGCACATTACAGTGTCTACTATACTAACATTTTTTGTTGAAGATTTCCCATGAAGATATTGATTATTGTCTTTTTCAGTTTTTAATCAGATGCATTGGCTAATACCTGTTTGTAGCTGAAGCTAAGTCTGTCCTCTTAGGCCATGGTGTGAATTGTGTGTTTCCCTTTCTTCCTTCATCTCTGGCTTAGCTCCTTTCATTACCTTCATGGCCCCTCTAGAAGTTTATGTTAGGTTTTTAAGGCCAGACCAGACTGACTTGAGCCCAGCCGTAATTGGAGACCAGATTCAAGGCTCTCTCTTGGTGGCAGGTGACATTAGTCAGACTTTATTCTTATCTATGAAAGTTCATAAGTAAGTGAGCTTTTGTGTTTTTCTGCTTAACTCTCATTACTACCTGTTATCTCTTTGAAGACAAGGGATATGTAAAGGTACATATATGTGTATAGATTGTGTATGTGTTTGAGTATGTATGTATGCTTTAAGCCTTGTTCCAAGATTGGTTTATATTAGAAACTAAACAAATACAGCCCAGCACGGTGGCTCATGCCTGTAATCCCAGCACTTTGGGAGGCCGAGGCGGGTGGATCACGAGGTCAGGGGATCGAGACTATCCTGGCTAACATGGTGAAATCCTGTCTCTACTAAAAATACAAAAAAAAAATTAGGTGGGCGTGGTGGTGGGCGCCTGTAGTCCCAGCTACTCGGGAGGCTGAGGCAGGAGAATGGCGTGAACCCAGGAGGTGGAGCTTGCAGTGAGCAGAGATCGTGCTGCTGCACTCCAGCTTGGGCGACAGAGCAAGATTCCATCTCAAAAAAAAGAAAAAAAAAAAAAAGGAAAGAAAAAAGAAACTGAACAAATACGTTATTTACTGAAGGAGTAAATATGTGTGACAACCAGTGGTGTCCTCATTCCGTATCTCCATCTTCAGAGAATGCTTGTGTGCCTTCAAATTTATGACATTTTCCTCTCACCCCTTAGTGGTGAAGAAACTGAAATATTGACCCCATCCCCAAAAATTAATAAGTTAAGTGTAAGTGGTACCTGTGGTCCATTTGAAAGGGAATATCTGAATGGAATGGGAGGACAGCCACCTATTCTCAGCAGGCAGAAAGGGTACTTGTCAACAGGTAATATGGGAAAGCTAAGAAAGATTAAGACTTTATTTTTCCCTATAGTCTGCCTTTCTGTGTTCCCAATTCTTTACACTGCTGTGTAATGTTATGGAATATGATTCTCAATTAGGAAACTTGAACGAAGACAAAAAAAATGGTAAGAGACTATCTTCTAAATATATCCTTAGTTCTTCAGGCAGCAATTTAATTTCAGTTAAAAGAAAGAACAAAGGCATGTCAATGTTTTGGACTGAGGCTAACCGAGGACTTTCACTGGCACTCTTTTTAGAGCTAGACCATTGGGGAAGTTGCAGTGTTACATAATGCTATGCTTCTCATTGCCATAGAGAAGCAGCAGCTGCTTTGAGACTTTAGAAAATCAGCAGCGACTTGAACTCTGTGTTGCTTGTGTCCAGAAAATTCCAGGCACTTTGTCAATTTTTTTCTTCATTTTCAAATTATCCTTTTGAGGAAAATATAAAGGAGTAATCCCATTATCTCTATTTTAGAGATAATTCAGCTGAGTTTCAAGAGGTTTGTTGTCTTGCTTCAAGTTGTCCATTAGCAGAACGAAGAACAAAATCTTGCTTTCTGTCTTTCCCAGACTGATTCTCTATTGTAGCTTCTCTTTGGCTGTTGATATAATATCAAATATTTTGTATGTATGTGAAAAATTTGAAATTTCATTTATTTCACTAGTTTACCAAATCCCTGCCTTTCACTGCTGACCAAGGTTAGAACTAATATAAAACTATTTCCTTTAGAATGCTTAGTGAATATTTTTTGCCACTAAGGCTAAAACACCACTGATAATTTTTACTCTCTCTTGTATATGTTTAAATAACAGAATAGAAAGGAATATGGGAGGTACATGATATGGAATGAGACACATCTTGACTAAAATATTTTAGTTTAGAGCAAATTTTCTCTGATCATAGTTATTCAAAGGATCTGTTTATTTGTATGTGGCATGATGGTGTGTGTAACCTCACAAACAAATGCAGAGCCTGGGAATAAGAAAGATGACTTATGGTTTCACCTCCAAGATTTTGACTCTGAAAAAGTCATAGAACCTCTCCCTTTCATAGTTTCTCTCCCTCTCTCTTTCATATAAATATATATATTTCACAATAATTACTTGAATAAATCCTAGGTACCTCTCCTAAAGAGTTTTGAAAAATAAACACATAGATATGAAGAAAGATGGCCCAATATAAACCAACAGTGGTCCTACTATCCCTGTCCTCTATGGGCTTGCTAAGCAATACCCCAAGGTAACTTTCAAGCTGACTTTGATGTGAATGCCCAGGTTCACGTATAGGAGTAACATAGACCACTAAGAGGGGTTTCTTGACAATCCACAGTATCTCTCTCCCCCTTACAAAAGATAGTTTTTAACATCAAGAGGACAGTTGTTGACTCTCATTTGAATTATTAAACCAAATAAGTGGCTGTTAAAGGAGCAAAGATCTGAATAATAATCAGTTATCATTTGCAGAGATAATTCAAATGATAGCTAATTATTGGGCAGGCACTCTACATAAATTATTTCTTTTCATTCCTATGAGATGGGTACTTTATGAGGAAAGAGAGAGGTTCAGAGAAGGCATGTCAGTTTTCTAAGATCACACAGCTCATTGTTGACTGAGCCTTGACATGAAACTACAGCTATGTTTAAAACCAGTGCTATTTCTAGTGTACTATCCTGCTTCCTTGTAATTATCCAACACTTTTCTTCTTTTTCTCCTTTTTAAAAATCAGGTAGTATCTGATTGACTTTGTCTTTCTTTTTTGCCAAGGGTACACTCACCAACTGCTGTCCAGAGTTAAATTTATAGTCACAAAGCAAGAGAAAAGTCTTTGTTTCCAAGCCAATGGGCTGGGTTTCCAGAGGCATAAATCCTAGGAATTAGTAATATCCCATATAAAATCACTGAAGGTTGGTGCCTATGGTTATGTCAGTGGCCTCTATGATACTCCCTAAAGGCGTAATTTATTCCACAGTCCCTAGACACATTCGTTCATGTTCTTTGAAACAGGGCACACTTGCCTTTCCCAGAAATTTTTCAACCAAACAGGACTAGGACATAGATCAAGGTCTGTCAGCCTATGCTCAAAGTGTCCTCTGCAGACTTTGTTGCCACTAAACTAGAAATAATCCATAGTTTCTCCTGTTTCCTTTTCCGTTAATGACCAACTTTATATACACTCAAAATGAATAAGTGATACGGTTTGTTCTTCTCCTCTACTTCTCTGTTTCCCAAAGTAATTTGCAAGTTAGAAGAGGAAATCCATTAGGAGAAGCTGAATGGATTAAAAGATAATAGGATTTGGAGAACAGGACCCAGTGAATCACAAATTCATTACATTCACAGCTGACAATTGCTAAGTCCCGGCCTGCTCCTCTCACAATGGGGCCAAGGTCTGTGCAGCATGCTGGTGTGCCTGGTGAAAGGAGAAAATGAGCTTCATAAATACAAACGTTAGAGTCAATCTTATGTTCCCCAGGGACTGCCAGTACTTTACTTGGCAAGAATAGAAAAGGAATTCTTAAGGATATAAAGGCAAAAACGAACACTGTAAAACACAAACCACAACAATGGAAAACTATAGAGCCTTGCTTCCAAAGCTTAGTCATCCATACTTTTCTGAAATGCCAGGAATTGGGATATGGAAAAGAGCTCAGAAAACTACAGGAGGCATCCATGGAACAACCACAGAATTCTCATTCTGGAAAGCTTTGGCAGGGCTATGTTCTCATCATTTCACTTTAATCACCTTTTACCCCTTGGGGCCATTTGAGGACCATGAAATTCTAAGAATGGGTAGAAAATACTCCCCCAACCAAATAAGAAATAAGATTCTTTTGTTTCTATATGTCCTGGATTCTGCATGCTGCCTGCTCGGAGAGGAGAGCCTTACACTGGAGTTTGCAGGCATTTGCTGCTGTCTCAATAGGTAGATCTTCAGTTAGGTCCCAGCTTCATGCCATCTGTTATTTCTAAAGTATTTTGGCCTTCAGCTGGAGGAAGGTGACAGGAGAGTGTTCTGTTCCTGCAGAAAATTTGCTTGTCATCAGAGTAACTGTGTACTGTTGAAACAGCTACTGCCTACATTTCACTGCCTCTTGAAAGCTAGCATTTTGGTGTGAATCAATTATGAAAAGTGATGCACACTGCCCCAACACGCACACATACACATACACCCCGCCTAAAAACCTGAGACATAAACAATGTCTAGAATTGTGGGCAATCATGCAGAGCCCTTCAAACAATATTAAAATCCAGCCACTTGTAAAGAGTGAGTAATAAAATAAGTTTAGGGTTATATAAATTGAGTCTAATAAAATAATTCAGATTCCTATGGTACATTACAGTTTTATAGTAGTGCCTTTATTTTCTCTTGTTCTTCTACAAATGCCTTTTTGAATATTTATTCATTACCCATTTCCTGGATAAAGATAGTAAGGCTTAGACCTTTTACCAGGATATCATAGCTTAAAAAATGACAGAGCTATTTAATTCATATTTAAAATCATATTTTTTCTTTTGCATTTTTCTACTTCCTGGCATATGTTTTTTTCTCTGATATTAGGGTATAGGACAGGACGAGGAATAATTAAAGTCCCTCCAAAGATTAGGTCAGAAAGGGACCATAAAAGCTTTTCCATTAGGAAGCTGGCTTTGGCGTTTCATTGTCATTGGAGAAGGCCCATCTGTACCTATGGCACGTGTTATGCTAGGAAAATACCTCCTGAATCCTTTTGTAGAAAGCAATAAGATAGCATTTCTCAGAAAGAAAATGCTTTGCTAAGCAAATACTTTGAAAAAAACAATAAATGATTTTTTAAATGGCATTACAATGTTCTTTGAATAGGACATGGGAACAGGAATCAAACTTGGATATATTGTATTTTCATCTTATTTTATTTCATTTTTATTAGTGACAGGGTTTTGCTCTGTCACCCAGGCTGAAGTATAGTAGCATGATAATAGCTCACTGCAGCCTTGACCTTCCAGGCTCATGATCCTTACGCCTCATCCTCCTGAGTAGCTGGGACCACAGGCATGTGCCACCATGCCTGGCTAATGCCTTTTAAGTTTGGTATGGACAAGGTCTCACTGTATTGCCCAGACTGCTTTCTAACTCTTGGGCACAAGTGATCCCTCCACCTTGGCTTCCCAAAGTGCTAGGATGAGAGGTGTTATTGCATATTTTTACAAGTATCAGACATGTATGTTCTGAAAGGCACTAGAATCATTGAAAATAAGTCACTGTGAAGTGCAATGACTCTTGAAGATAGGGGATAGCAGAAGTGTGAAACTTTGTAGGCTAATCATTATGGCCAATGCCTAATTAGGATTTATAGTACCAAGGCCTGACCAAAGTCATAAATTATCAGACAAAATTATTGGACAGAAAGTGAATGACTGCATATCTTGTTAAAATCACTAGGGAACTTAGGCAGAAGGTAATGACTGAAATGAGAACTTGCCTGAAACATCAGGCTAAAAATAGTTCTTGATATATGAAGATGATCTGAAAAATGAGCCAAAATTTGTGTTGCAAAACAGCAATTCAAGAATTCAATCTTAAAACATTGCCTATTTTTTTCTTCAGAAAACAGGATACAAAAGTCAGTGTGAATGAGCAAAGCCATTGAGTTGCTCCCAAAGCAGAAGAAATTAGACAAAGCTATTATGGAGGAGATGGGGATGGATTTCCACAAGAGAGGGCAACCTCTATGTGAGGGGTAATTTAATGAAAAATTTGCAGGTGATGCACCTGTCTTTTCAAAGTTCTTTTCATCCCTGCAATTTCATACTTTTTCACCTTCAAGGCCAATGGCTTTGTCAGTGCTGCCTGAATTGTGCCTTTGAATGAGTAATGACAGATTTGAAATAAGAACATTGGAGCATTTTAAGTGTCCAGTAATATTTGCTCCTGGATCTACTTTGAATGGTGGGTGTGTGATGACTGGTCTCCATGAATGGGATCATCTAATGCCTTTTAAAAATTAAAGACATAGTGTCATTTGGACTTTTTATGATGCAGTACTATCTTGTCACAGAAGACTTCAGGATTTCTCTTGGTTAGCAAGTCAACAGAGACCTGTGTATCTAGGCCTGCATATATGCATGCATGTTGTTACTTGATATATTCGGTTATAAGAAAAGGAAGTCAGTCCTAGTAAATAACACCATCCATATGAGATTTATGGGTTTCACTTATAAATATTAAATTAATAAATAAAATATTATCCTATCATACTTAGTAACAAAGGTATAAGGCTACAATATTACACCTGTCCTGTAACTTCACAGATATCTAATGAATATCTAGAAAACATCTCTGACTTGCTGCGAGTGTGTCACTAAAGCCCTACATTGACCATATATGTCTTTATTCTCTATCTGATAATGTTGCAACTTTCACATTATTTTTGAAAGTTCTTAATTGGTGATTAAATTCCTGAGAATTTCCAGTAATGCATACCAAATGTCCTGAGACTTTTTAGACATAAATCTGACTCACCTTCAAAATCAAAACAAAAAATCAGTATTACTATGATTTCAAGTCATAATCTGAATTTAACTCCACCTTTAAAATTAAATGCTGCCAGGATCACATGCTCAAAGGCTTTCTTGGAAATATGGCTTATACAAATGGCATATGCATATATATATATATATATCATATACATGGCATATATACATATATATGAGATATATATGTATATAATGTATATGTATATATAAAACTGGCAACAGAAACACAGGAAATGATATGAAAAAATTATTTTGTTCATTTGGAACGCTGTATTTGTTGTCATTTTTGAAGACAATAAAATTGTCATTCGAACCAAACCCATTTGTTTCATTATCTATTAATTTCTATCTCTTCACACTGCTTGGATTGGAGATAGCAAACAGGCCATGAAAACACCTTGGGAAAATAATTCTTGCACATTCTCTAACAAAACTGGAAAAATTACTGATAGATTCTTGGTTTGGTCATATGGTGCTTACATGAACTGGAGAACTTTGATTTGAGCTAGTTCAAATTTTAACACACTATCCTTACATACCTACGTTTGAGAGACTGTTATATGGGATTTGAGAGATTTTGAAAACATGGCCTTTTTCTTGCCGTTTGTGAGCAAGGAGAGATGTAAGCTGTTTACCTCTGTACCCAGCAAAATACCTTCCAATGAGGTTAGAATCACTAGGACTTTTCTTAATGTTGGTTCACCCCCATTATACCTCCTGAGTATAAGTGGATAATGATTTTTTTAAATCATAAGAGCGCCATGTTGCAATTGTTATTATCACCCCACCTCACTGTGTGTGTGTGTGTGTGTGTGTGTGTGTGTGTGTGTGAAGTTAAATGATCTTTAATAGTGGTTTGTTACCAAAAAATCCATGTAAGCTCAAGTCACCTAAATAAAAACTACTGTATAAGAAGGAGGCACAAGTATGGAAAACATATAGGAATACAAGAAATGTTTACTTTTGGCCCTTTTCCTCTTTTAGGCCATTTCCTTCCTTTCCCTCTACCTTGGACAGCTAGTTTCAATAAACAAAACCTTGTCCTTATTACTACCACTTTTAGAATGCCTTAACTTGCCCTTAATGCCTAGCCTTTCAACAGGTGGATTCTTGTGTGTCCTGAATAAACATACAAACACATAGAAACACACATACACAATACAAATGTATATATATTTTGTATAGTATATCTGTATATATTTAGGTACATATTTTAAAAACAAACACATTCAAGTAAGAGAAACATTGAGTGGTAAAAGAAAAATTAGCAAACTGATATAAGGTGTAGCAGTCTTACTTATCAAATGGAACAGGTGTCTTTTTCAAATTTAGTTGGTGCCTTTAATTGGCCATTTATTCCTGAGTGTGTTGGGCGTAGTAATAAATGATATGACAACACAGCTCATGCCAGTGGTGGACTTCTACAACCAGTGGAATAGTCAAGAAAGGTCAAGCTGTCTCCATTGATTTGAAAGTAGATTGTACCTACTTATCACAAGCACCTTAGTTTTCCTTTCCTTCTTTTCTATGAAGGATTGTCCCCTTGTCCATATCACATGTTATCTATCATCCTTAATGTCACTAATAAATTAGATTATTCATGGAATGTGCTTAGCCCTGTGTCTGGCTCCTTGTAAGCAGTTGATAAATGTAAGCTGCTATAGTTATCACACTTTGATCCTTACCACGTTTCCTTGATATATTGAGGGCAAATAATTGAATCTGCATTTTATTAAAAGAACACTGAGACTAATGGAGGTGAAGAGGTTACCTGACTTCTCTTTGGCTCAGGATCAGTGAACAATATTATAGGTACTTGAACTAAGAACTCCAGTCTTTTAGGCCAGTGATTGCTCCTCAGTATCAACATTTAAAAGTAGTTAGTTATTCTTGTTTTCTGAAACCATCCTGAGAAAATAAAGGAGATACCACTTCTGTCTTGTCTCTTCTCCCTGGTTTTAAACCTGTGCCTTGTCATAATGCAAAGGCCATGTATTTATTTAAAAATTATAAACACATTTTACCTGAAGTGACAGCTGAACTGTGGTTCTAAATAGCCTCTGTTGGTGGCCTCAAACTTCTGTATATATTCGGTATATTCCATTAAGTGCAATTTTATGAAAATGTCATAAACAAATCAATCACTCTTGACTTAATTTTCAGCCACCATCAGCTTCTATTGAGAATCTCAGCCATCAAAATATCCATAAGACCATATGATGAAGTACATATAAAGTACTGTGTGAGCACAATGAAAAAGCAATGAGATTCTTTTGGGGGGTTCACGGAAAGCCCCCAAGTGAGGGTGCCATTTGAATTGAGTATAAAATGATGAATAGAGATTTGTCCATTGAAAAGGGCAGACAGGCCAGGCACGGTGGCTCACGCTTGTAATTCCAACACTTTAGGAAGCCGAGGTGGACGGGTCACAAAGTCGGGATACAAGACCAGCCTGGCCAACATGGTGAAACCTCATCTCTACTAAAAATACAAAAAGTAGCCAGGTGTGGTGGCGGGCACCTGTATTCCCAGCTAGTCCGGAGGCTGAGGCAGGAGAATTGCTTGAACCCGGGAGGCAGACGTTGCAGTGAGCCGAGATGGCGCCACTGCACCCCAGCCTGGGAGACATAGTGAGACTCCGTTTCAAAAAAAAAAAAGTAAAGGGCAGACAGAAGCTGGAGATAGAGTGACCCCTGTCAGACTGAGGGGGACATTTGAGCAAAGATATGAATATTAAAAAAACAATGATCCAATATGGTTGAATTGGGTGAGTGGCAAGAGTGGCTGTTGGCAACCTGTGAAGTGGCATGCATGCCAGGTTAAGAAGTTGGAGATAATTTGGTAGCATTTGAGCTGCAATAGATCGTGTCAGAGAGAACTATGCCATGACCAGATGTATGACTTAGATAACCCTGACAGCCATGGGGTGGACAAATGGCTAGGGTTGAGACTGCAGCCAAACTCTTCACAATTTCAGGAGAGAAATGATGAGGAATGAGATTGAAGAAGTGGCCATGGAGGTGGGGAAAAGAGAGCAAATTCCAGAAAAATATTGTGGATTTGCTCAGTGGAACTTGGCACTGGATGAAATATACAGAATAAGTGCAAGGGAGGAGGCAGAAGATTAACTTGGATAGATGGGTTGATAACTGTAGCCATAACTAAGGGAAATATATTAAGCTCCTCTTCTCAATAAAGATTAGATTTAATTACGAAAATATCATCTATTTATTTGCCATCTTGTTTTACAATAATATATCTTGTATCTTCATATAAAAGCAGTTACGGCAGCCCTCTGCACTGTATTTTCATAGGGTTCTGTTTTTATCTTACTTAACTGTAAGGTCCTTGAGGGCAAAAACAGTCAAGCCTTTCTCATTCATCCTTTGCAAACCCAGCACCCTGATTCCCAACAGGGTAGAACTCAGCACATATTTGATGAATTAGATTGAATTTAAATCTATATATAGTTATAGGAATAAATGCTTGGAGGATTTTCCTATCTCTGTTTCAATTCTTTGTTTTAGCTCAGTCTTTTTATGTTGGCTCCTGTAAGCTTTTTGCAGTGCTGCAAACACTTCTAGCTGACAAGAGAGAAAAAGAAAGTCAGTGAAAAGGAGGAGGGGGCATTGCAGCATCTAGATTGAACTCTCCAGGCTTGCCTGTCTCATAATTTTCACCTTTGGTGGGGAACTGTCCCAGATTTCATCCACCAGGCTAAGGTTCTGACATGGTACCTTCTTAAATCAAGCTTGAAGGGAAATTGATTGAAAAGAAAACACCATTATGGGAAAACAATTCATTTTCTTCCCCATGACAGAAGGTAGACTTTTGTCTATACTGCAGAATAAATATGATCTGGCTGATTGCTTTAAGATCTGGAAGCTCAGAGGAGTCATAATGGCTTTGCTCACTCTTTAGAGGGAAATTACCTTCCATTTTGGAGACATTTGATACAAAGGTTTTGGTTAGCTTTCAAAAAGTAATATTTTTTCTCCCTGTGTGATTATTTATATTAGCTAGATATAGGTGCATGAAAACTTGCAAATATTTCTGTGTGCAGTTGTGTGTTTCTACTGAAGTACCCTCCAGACAGGGAGTAAGCAGATTTTTTTTAAAACTTTTCTATAAGCCCCTTAAATATTACAGTCGTCCCATGCTTTCTGTGTTGAAAGAAAACAAATTTAAACTCATAAAGGTGGAGTGAAGGCAAAAAGATAGAATAATGTTTACCTGATGTTTATAGTAGTAGAAAACACTTCATTGTTAGAAATAGCCAAGAAGGCACTTACGTTGTGGGACACTCATCCGTCCCGTTGACAAAAGTTGGATTCATTTTATCTTGCAGAAATTGCAAACTAGCATCCCCTCAGACAAAATCTAGCCCTGATAATACGTATTTGGACAACATAGAAATTATGTTGGCAAGTCTTTTCTACTTCAACACAGTCCCCACCATGCCCATTGTACAATGGCTGGCCAAATTCACACATTTAAGTTCCTAGCTCCCAAAAGACTTGAGGTTGAATGCCTTGCTAAAGGTTTTTAGTGCAACTCTGCTTTGCTAGAAGATGAATTCCTACCTTGCAAAAAACTCGGATGCATGTCTCCTGAGATTGGAATGGACAAGGAACAAATGTACTTGTTTGTAGTACTTCTAGAATGTCTCCCTAAATCATCTTAGAAGCAGAAATCTTACCCAAAATATGATGCTTGCCAATATATTGTTTACCACCCATCATGCTCTGAACCATCATGCCTCTTGTCTGGGTAGCCTTGCTCTATGAGGCAATTTGTGGTATAAAGATTTTTCATTAAGTTTTGGCCAGTGAAGATGTTGTCAATGTACAAAGTCAGTAATGCTTCTTGTGAAATGGTCGCCTCTCATGCCAATCTTGGAAGCGTAACATTTTCTTGACCACTTTAGTTCTAATGACTTCACGTTTATCCTGAACTAGAAATATGGTATCTTCTTGGTTGTTTATTCTCTTTCTTCTTCCCTCTTTATATCTCTCCATCCTTCTTTCTTCCTTCTTTTTTCTTCCCTCTATTTCTTCCTTCTTTCCATCATTCTCTCCTCTTTCTTTCTCTCATTCTGTTTCTTCCTCTTTTTTTTGAAAATCTTAGCAAGAGTTAATGGACTTATGATCTAAAAATTAGGTTATTAGAAATTTTTGTCATAAAACCTGGAGAATTGATGTTTGAATTCTCCTTGGCTAGAGTCAATCCTTTATCCTTTTTAGGTAAATGAATTAAGTCTCATGCAATTTCCTGTGTGGGAGACTCTTTAGATGAATCATTTAAATGGAAAGCCCTGTCTGCTCATCAAGGGGCGCGATTTTAGAGTTTTCCTGAGTATTATGTGCACGCTTAGTACAGTCATTGAGATACATAAGGCAACCATGTGCCTTAATCTGTATGAAGTCTCAGTTCATATGTGATTATTTAGGTAAAGTATATAACTGAAATTTTACATCTTTTGATCTCTTTGCAAAATTTCCCTGAGCCACTTAAAAATAACCTTTCTTTACTCCTTTTTGTCTTGAAACATTTTTATTGGAAGACTTCAGACCTAACTTTAGTACCAGAGACCGAAAGTCATATCTCACTTAGTTCTACAATCTCTAGTCCACTTTTGATACTCAGAATAGATAGTAAAGGTGCTATTTTTTTACCCCAGAGTGACAGACTGTTATAAATGTTGGGATCCTATGAAGTACTGTGGAGAGTATTTAATGAGCCGTTGTAGAGCCTACACAGATACATTTATATAAGATATTGTTTTTATACCAGCCTCAAATGCTCCTAGGAGCAGCCAGACAGGTCTTCCTCAAAAGGATAATCTGGAATCTTTACCTTTGCAATTGTTCTATGATACTTCTCTTTCAATGCACAACTCCCAATTAATTCCTTGGTACTCCTTGCAATAAGAGAAAATTAAAAGGGACTCATTTGATATTAGATGGGATCACACTTATATACCTATTGCATTGTATAATAAGTAAGCATGAGTATCATTCTGTTGTATAGTCCCAAACTTTTCCTTGAAATAATTGGCAAGAGGATAGAGGAAAGACATCCAAGATTTATTAATACCTTCATGGTTCTAGTTACCTCTATAAACTAGTGAAACCTTTTCCAAATATTGTAGATAAAGAAATTGAGGCACAGAGGTGTTACTTAACTGATTCAAGTTCACACAGCTAATAAACAACAGAGGCACAATTCCAAACCAGCTCTTCATGGCTCTAAAATCTGTGTTTTTTCCATAATAAGCTGCCTAATTTATTGCGCTTTTATTGTGGTAATTATTTTACAAGCATTATTGCATTTAATCCTCATAGCCTTGTTATGTAAGTCCCAATAGTCCCCATTTTTGCTGATGAAGGAAGTAGGATTCAGAGAAATCAAGTAGCTCTCATGTTGTCTCACAGTGAATAAGCAATAGATTCAAGATGAACTCCAGAGCCTGTGCTCTTAACCACTACAGAAAATTATGAAATTACAAGGCATGGTCCTGCCTTGTGGCTCTAGCATCAAGTTGGTAAGACAACACAACACCAAGGCTCTTAAGGAATCCTCTGGACTTGAGTGTATGTATGGGAGGAGAAGAGGGTGTTCTAGGTAGGATAGTAACATGACAAATTCAAGGATATGAGAATGGAATGTTCAGCTTTATTTTCATTTTAGATAAAGTTATAATATCTGATAAGATAGCATGGAAGGAAGGAACTTCACTCTCCTGGAGTGTAGAGTTGTCAGGAGTGGACTTGAAAAAAAGAGTGACAACCATGAGGTCTGATAGGCTTTAGAACGCAGGTCTTAAAGAGCCTGGAGAAAAGAGCGTGCATCACAAATCCTACATAGACAGCAAAACCACTGCCCAGGTAAACCAAGGCCGCAGTCTAATCTTGGAAGGAGAGAGTAATTTAGGACAGCAAAGCAGAATCCATCTCCTTGGGCAAAGCTTCAGGAAAGCCCTGTCTGAATCTAAGAGGGAGCTCTCGGAAGGAAAGGAGAAGGACATTTGCAGAAGGAAGAGAGGCAGCCTTGGCCCTTATGAACTCTGGGGGAGGTTCCTCCCCCTACTCTTAACTGAATGTGGCCATAAGTTGAACACCAGTGAACACCAGCAACTGCTGAGACTGAGGAGAGCAGCAACAACTGAGCAATTAACCTTTGGTGATGGGCTTGAAGTTCTAATTAAGAGCAGAGTCTCTTCTATCAGGTGGGAGGGGGAACAGCAGAAAGATGTATGAGGGGGATGAAAAAGACCAGCATGTTAGCAGGTCAGATTTAAAAGACATCCAAATGGGTGTAAGAGGGTGAGAGAAAAGAAGGAGATCACTGACCAATTAATTTTTCTGTTTCCCAGTCAAAGTTTCTTCTCCTTTCTCTTAACCCTGCAGTGACTGCTGTGTGCAGAAGCCAGCAGCTCCGGGGAGAGCTGACGTTGAATGCTTATGCTCCTCTCTGTTGTAAATTCCTTTCTTCATTTGCTGAGTATCATTGGTAATTTCTATGTAAATTTTCTCAGAGTAGCAATTTAGCAGCTTTTCTGTTGACAAATGAGGAATAACTTAATAGTCAAGTGACTGCATGTCATGTTTCGCAAGGAGGTGGAAGTAGCGCCTTGTAGATCGCAGGGATGGATGCTGGAAGTGGGCGATCTTGGGAAAGCCTCATTGCCTCAGTGCCCTATTTAATTTCGCCCATTTAAGATAGGAGAGAATAAGCTTCTATACTTGAGGAACCTAGTTTCTTGTGAAGAGTGATTGTTAGGAATCTTTTCTCTTTTAGCACTTAGTTAACGAATACCTTTCAAACCAAATCAAGAGGCAAGACCCCCTCCAACTTTGTCCAGAAGCCTTCACAAGCAGAGGCATATTTTGTTTTGTATCAAATGCTTCTCATTGTCCATATTCAGGAGGCAGGCAACAGTGGGGTCCTTTTTGAAGTGACCAGGGATGGATGCAGGCAGCAAGGCATCGTTGCTTTCCAGATGCCACCTTTACTATAAGAATCGAAGTCCTTTAAAGTGGACTCTGAGAAACTTCACCTAAATCATTTCCCAAGGTGACAGCTCTCTATGCAGTTTTTTCTCCTAACTAGAAAGCTTCCTCTTGCCACTGCGCTGAAAATGGGAAAAGTAGGTGGATGGGGAGGTCTTTTTTAAAGCCCAGATTTCTGGAATTTGTGGTCCTTCTACTTTCCTGTCTCCAGCAGTGACCTTCTCCTCATTTATTCATGACAGAATCATACGTATAAAAATTCATGTATTCTGGTCACCGTTCTAAATTCTGGATGGTGAAAAAAAATATGCAGGGCCCCTCCTTTTATGGAACTTTCATTTTAGGAAGGAGGAAACAGTAAGCAAGTGAACAGATAAGTTAGTGGTATAAAATTGTTTAAGAGTGACTGGATGGGAGGAGGGTTTACTGGAAGCTCAGAGGGTTCATGGTAGCCCACTCTGCAGAGATGAGAGTTAAACAGTGTTGTGAATGATTGAAAAGAGCCAACCATTCACAGATCTAGGGAGGCATGCTCCCAGAAGCTGAGACAGCTAGAGCAAAGGCCTGAGGTGGGAAAGAACTTAGCTTGCTGATAAATCAGATACAGAGCCAAGCTGCTGTTGTATTGTAAGATTATTTCAGACTCGGGAGTAGGGATGTGTTTGCACTTCTAGCTCTATAGGCCCTCATGAGCCTGTTGGACACATTGTTAAATTGATGCCAAGTAGCTCAAAGCAGAACCCAGTCCCTTGTCCCTCATCTTCTTTCTGCTGACTTCATAAGAACATGGTTCACTTTCACTGCCTTCCTTTGTGGACATACTCAGCCTGCGAATTAAAAACAGAACTGATTTTCTCATCTCCCTTGGATCCTGGGGAAATTAAGGCCTGCCTAGGCCTCAGTTCTTTCCCTAGATTGAGATTAAAATAGCTTTCCTTGCAATCATCCAGATGCCAATTTAATAAACATTCTCTGGCCCCTTCCACATATAACCCCTGGACTGCCTTACTAATTTCTTAGCATTCTTCTCCTTTTCTCCACAAATCCTCCCTTTAAAGAGTGTTTTTTTCCCATGCCTTTCTTATTCTTTTTTGTGGAAAGCCCAAATTAGTTTGTTTATTTTTGCCCTTAAAGTCCACCATATCCAAATGAGAAGTACAGAAGCTATTACCTTAAAAGTAAGCAGTGAGAATCCTAACATCTTTTTTTCCATCCCCACATTCTCCTCAATATGTTCCCTGTCCTTTGATGCATAAGAGGGTGAAAACCTCACATGAGTATTTTATGCACTACCATTTTACAAGTGTTTCAGTAAATATTACTTCATGTAATTCTCATAAAAATCTTGGGAGATCAGCAACACAAGAACTGGTAGGAAACTCTGTAAGGGGGAATGTGGGGATGCGAGGGAAGCCAGATCATTTCCAAAGTCCAAAGGTCAGATCTTCACGTTGAAACCCAGTCTGCACTGACCTTTGACCTGGCATCACCATTCCATAGCTATTTGTTGGTGTCAGCATCCTGGATAGGGGGATTTTTTTTTTTTTCAAATTGTAATTCAAAGGCTAACAGAAAAGAGAAGGTAGGCTTGAGAAAGCACTAGTTTTCTTGGGACTCTGACTTATTATTTGGAAGAAAATTGATTGAAAGCATAGGTGATTATTTGTTCCTTGTATCTTTCAGAAAAAATCAAGTGCTCTATGACATTACTGAGTATATACCCAAAGGAATATAAATCATTCTGTTATAAAGAGACATGCATGCGTATATTCATTGTGGCACTATTCACAATAGTAAAGACATGGAATCAACCCAAATGCCCATCAATGATAGACTGGACAAAGAAAATGTGGTACATATACACCATGGAATACTATACAGACATAAAAAGGAATGAGATCATGTCCTTTGCAGGGACGTGGAAGGAGCTGGAAGCCATTATCCTCAGCAAACCAACGCAGGAACAGAAAACCAAATACCACATGTTCTTACTTGTAAGTGGGAGCTGAACAATGAGAACACATGGGCACAGGGAGGGGAATAACAAACAGTGGGGCCAGTCATGGGGAGGGGAGGAGGAGAGCATCAGGAAAAATAGCTAATGCATGCTGGGCTTAATACCTAGGTGATGGGTTGATAGGTGCAGCAAACCACCATGGCACACGTTCACCTGTGTAACAAACCTGCACATCCTGCACATGTACCGTGGAACTTAAAATAAAATGACACATTACTTTCCCCACTGTTTTTTTTTAAGCAAAAGTGTTCTCACACAGAACACAGGCAAGCATGTCTAACATGTTCCATTCTAAGTCTTGCCCTTGCATGTGGTTGAAAATGACTATGGACTATCCACATCACAAATTATGGGTTCCAGTGTGTATATGGACACTTCTGAATTCACTCAAAATTTTTCTTACTGATCCCTATTGCCAGATGGGGGAGATCAGCTTCTATATTAAGCAAGGATGTGTCCAACTTTTGAAATGGAATGAATAGTTAAAATTGTGCATTTCTCACTCTGGTGGTTGCCTATAGCTGTCTCCGCCCCCACCCCCACCTCTCTTCCCCACCACCTTCACCAGCAGTAGAAAAGTATGTCATATGTGTGTGGGGTGGGTACAGATAGAGAAACTTGGCAGAAATAGGGTGAGAGATGTGACTAACACCCTCAGCTAATTTCTGTGCATGTTCCCAAACAGAGATCTGCAGAGAAAGGAGCAAGAGTTCCTTGCATTCTAACCCAAGCCACCCCTTCACACTTCCAGCTTTAGTTCACTTCTCCACCTTCCATGCATGGTTGCCATCTGACCTGGCTACTGAGAAGATCAGACCTCCCAGTAGGAGATCCACCACATAAGCTAAAAATAAGAGCTGCTACTTCTCTGCAGATACCATTAACCCAATTAGATAAATAAAAAAAAAAAAAGAAAAAGAAATTACAGCTTCATTAAGTAACACCAGAATAAACTCCAAGAAGGCAAACCAAATCAGTTATACAATTTAAAACTTTACTCAAAAATCAAAATGATTTGAAACCAATGGTCACTTAAATGAAGGCAGAAGCTGCATGGCAGCCATTATTGGAGCCAGCAATTCAGCAGAAGTCCAAAGGTCCAGTGCAGCAGTACATGTGACAGGTGATGTTGCCTGCATACACAAAATTAAATGGAACTAGTTTTCGAGGGTCTTCTTGTCTCCATGAAAAGAGAATGTATCCTTCTGAAAGTCCTTTTGTTTAAAAATATGATCAGGCTCTGAAAGAATTTTAGGTCTTGATACTAACTAACAGAAGACATGCATTTATTAAAAATTGTATCACAAAGGGGTGAACTGGGGCCTGATTGATTGATGTTGAAATTTGATTTATCCCCAGTAGAAAGTGCCAGGATATTAAGCCTCTATTACTCCACAAGGGATACCATTTTGCCTTTGGTGGGTGAGGTAAATCTTCAGATTAGAAATGGTAAAGCCTCAAGACTTCCAAAAACATACAGGCTCCTATTGTATACTTGCTGAAGTTCCTATAATTATTTACAATTCCCTGCAAAGAACATTCTTGGGGGTGAGTCCCAGAACAGAGGTGAGCCTCCAGCTGCAAAAACCATAGCAAGTATGGCAGGGAGCATCTTTGATTCAGAACAGAACGCCACTCATCGTTCCATCAGAACAGGGGCAGGAGGTTCCTGCCAATACTGATTGATGCCACGAATCAACTGGAGTTGTTCCATGATCCACATGGTCCTTGGACTTGGTGCTGTCCTGGAAACTGGATTCATTGCTCAAGGAGCTGAGATAAAAGAAAGCAGCCTAACCAATGGCCAGCTCAAATTAGGAGCTCAAATGAACAGGGCCTCAAGGAAGTCAGCCTCTGAGAATCTGAGATTTCCAGACTCTGATAATGGGAATCTCACCTATTTGTCCACTTTTGGGGTAGATCTAGACACCGTGATGTGTCAGCAGCCTCTTAGTTGCTGAGACAATTGTCCCAGAGTGCACAGACTAAATCTAAATCCCTACAATATGTTTTCAATGAATTTATGCCACACTAATTTTCTAATTTGCAATTTTTAAGTCAATATACTTTATTTTCTTTTAAAAATAGTGTTTTATATTTTCATACTATAACATATTTCCATGATATTAAAATTGGCAAGTAAAGAAAATAAAATATGTAAAGTCATTACTGTCATCCTCCCAGAAGTGATGTGCTAACAATTAGACATATTTCATCCCCAGTTTTTTTCTACAGACACTTTTGCTTTACCATATTGTGTACTTGGGTCTATTTTCAACTCTGAGCCACTTGCTATATTGAACAGTGTTTCTACAGACACCGTGCTGTTTCTTCTTTCCTTCTTTCACTCAACAATCATTTACTGAGCATTTTGAGAAGAACTGGGAGGACAGCGATAGAATGCTTTTGCATTTTATCTGCAGTCAACTAGTTAGAAACCAGAAACAACTATCTTGCATCTCACTATCTTGTTATTTGCACCTTTAAAATCCCTTTGCAGAATAGGTGCATAGTATTAATTTGATAACTAAATGAAAACAAAATGGAGTTCATCAAAGTGGATTTGTTTTGAATTGGCTTGGAGTTACTGGCAGTCTATGATGACATACGCTACTCCCCACCATTGACACATGCATTCAAATGCAGATGCTATATTAGTCTGTTCTCACACTGCTAATAAAGACATATCCAAAACTCGGTAATTTATAAAGGAAAGAGGTTTAATTAACTCACAGTTCCATGTGGCTGGGGAGGCCTCTTAATCATGGCAGAAGGTGGAGGAGAAGCAAGACATGTCTTACATAGCAGCAGGCAAGAGAGCTTGTGTAGGGGAACTGCTGTTTATAAAACCATCAGATATCTTGAGACTTATTCACTATCATGAGATTGGTATGGGGGAAATCACTCCCACAATTAAGTTATCTCACCCTGACCCCACCCTTGACATGTAAGGATTATTACAATTCAAGGTGAGATTTGGGTGAAGACACAGCCAAACCATATCAGAGGCACACACAATTTTATGTGTTTGTGAAGAAAAGGCAATTGTGGAAACTTTACTTAAAAAGTGTAATGTCAATCTCATGAGTTGAGGACAGTTAGGAGACCCTGAAATGACACCTGTGGGCTTGCATTTTATTCTTGGTCACTGCTAAACCATTTTTCACTTCCCTCTGTTTCAGTAACCTAAAAATCTAGGGTTCACAAAACAATGAGATTAAGGAAGCCAACTGATAACTATTGTAATAGGATAGGAAATGTTTCCTGATTTGGGAAGGATGGGCAAGGAGGTGGAGAATGAGCTTCCAAGGCAGTTTTGATTTTCCGGAAAAACTCATCTTAAAACTGATTATCTCCCCAACATGAGACCTACCAACTGACCTGTATCAGCCTAACTGCAATGTATCTGTCTAAAGCTGTTAAACACAGCTATTTTCAAAACATTTATCCATTTTCATAAAAGATTTCTTAAAATTCAAGCTAGGTTTTCTTCCTTTATTTGAAAAGGGAATATGGTAATTTTAGGAATATGATTATATATGCATATGTGGAAGAGAAGCAGAATACTTAAAAGACAAGCATTTCCTCTTTTTATTTGAGAGAGAGAAAGAGAGAGAAAGAAACTCCTAGGCAATCAGAGCAGAACATTCCTAACCTTACATTTGATCCACCCATTGAGCTACTGAATAAATGCTTAATATGTCAGTGAGCCCACAAGTTTCTTGTCCTGGGCCCTTTAAACTGATATATCTCAATCACCTTTACTGAAATGTTATCCTGAGAAGACCGTAAACCCAGGGCTGCTCACCACTGAGTCTTCTTTTATGAAGGTTTCTCAGGAGAACATACAGCTAAAGATCTCTAACATTTTTCCTGAGTAGACCTCTTTTTTCTCTTCATGAGGATATCATAATAAATGACTCGTTGGTAATTTATCAGAGCTTGTTCCTTCCCCAACCCATTCTCCTTAATGCATTTTTTAAATTTATCCAGTATTTGAAATGCAGAAGTCCAGGCTTGGTAGGAACCCAGAAGAGAAGAAGGTGAAAGAACAAAATGACTGTGAAGCTAAGAAATCCAGATTTGGAAGGAGTAGCATCCTCACAGATGCTCACAGAAGTCCATATGACACTCCTTGCATTGCCTGGGGCTTTATGGAAGAAGCAGGGTCACGCAGGATTAGTCATTGCCCAAAGAGCGAAGAGCATGGAACTCGCCAATAGCCTGCAAACTCTTTCCTTTTGGCTTTTCTAGCACTTACTACTCTTTTATGACTTTTACTTTACTTAATTTTCTTATATACCAGGAATATAACCAACCAGGGTAGTTGGGGGCCATTGTGTATTGAGCACTGCCCAACTCAATTCACTTAGCTTGCAATGTGAATGGCTTCTCTCTTCTAGAGGTGCTCAAGGTGCAACCCACATAATCACACCTGATAGCCATGTTGTCAATGCCCAATCACATTTTAAACACTTGGAGGGCAGAGACTATGACATAGAGAAAGATTTGAATAGCTATTCACAGAATTCAGTTGAGCTGAAAAAGTCAGAAGAGGAGACTAGTTTCACTGACTACAAGAAAGAGTGATTTGGTTTTCTGAGAGTGAAATCTTCCCCCACAAACATGTACTGTTTGGCAACATGTTTTTTTAAGCCTTTAGAATTGTAATGCTTTTTGCTGGGTCATATGTTCTCAAATTTTGCCTCAAGCCCCATCATTCCCTGTTTTATTATGGTAAGCTTATTCACACATTTATATACCTGCCAGGCTATTGTAGGTATTTTGATATGTGGCTTGGCCTTTCTGGGCCTCATTTAACCTCTCTAGACTGCAGTTTTCTCAACTGAAAAAATTCCCATCATATCTGCCCTGCCTATATCATGAGACTTTGTGACGATTCAAAGGAGCAATTCAGGCACAAGCTGTGTAAAGGTTACAGAACACAATATAGACTACATTATCATTAAACTACTTGATAGTCTTATGACTATTTTTATGGTAATGAAACGTAATCCAATGCAACTTCGTATATGTAAGTAAAACTTCTTAATTCTTGTCTTGTAAAACTGAATCTTCATCCTTTGACTGATCAACTGACCAGCTTAAACCTTGGAGAATCTTAAACTTCTGAACACATTTTACTTCTCTCTTTATGTTCCCCTGTGGATCTCTTATGAGTATACAGAGATTGAGAGTCCACCATACAGGTTACCTTTCACTCAAGAGGTTGTGGCATCCTATTCATTGTCAACTACTGGACTTTTTCCTCCCCGTCGTGGAAAATTGGTGTCACATTGCCACATGGAGCATCCCTTCTTCACTCTTGACCCTTCCTTCATCAATGGTGGAGCATCCTCCTGAAGCTGGAGAAGAGAAATATAAAGCTATGTGTTTCAGAATGAAAGGACCAATCACAAGAAACTCTCAAGCCTTAAAATACATTTAGCTTTTGGATATAATACATCACATCTGTATTTGTTAGTAACATATTAAACAAAATGATAGATAAAATGTAGATTATATAAGAACCTATGTAATTGACATGATTTAGATACTCATTCAAAGATGAGTCATGAAAAAGGTACGGTATTGTCATTGCACAGTATTTCCTATCCCTGTGACATATGAATACCACCTTCACCGTTTTTGTAGTATTCACTCATCACTTGCACTGTTATTTACTTAATAGTCTTCTTTAAGTTGATTTATTTTACTTAAATATATTTATTTTGAAAGCAAAATATATAATTCTAAAGTAAATGAAAAGTCGGTATTACTTCTCATAAATAAAAATAATTGTAAAAATAAAAGCTTTAAGAACAAATTATGTTGTTATATTTTAGCTATGTATTATAGCCTGACAAAAGACAAGAATTAGTCCTCATTTAAAAAAAATAAAGGAGATTGGCAGATTTTAAAAAGGCTTTTAAAGATATATAAGTGCTTATTTTCTCTCTGAGGAAATAAAGAGCAAAAGAAAACTTAAAAGTTAATAATTTTGCATAAGTATAATTTGGAATGATTCAGTGTATTTTTTCATTATGACTTCAAATCATTTAATGTATCAAAAACATAGTCATAAACATTGGGGTCATCATCTATTTTGATTGTAGAGATTTTACTTTTATACATAGATGTTTTCAACAATATAACCTAAATTTCTGGGAAGTTATATCTTTTACATTTATTTTAAAAATCTCTCTCTTCCCTCACTTCTTCATTGAAGTAATAAGGGACTTAACTTCTTTAAACCAAAGTTTCCATTATAGATAATAAAACAACCATCACAACAAGAAACTACTAAATGATTATTTATTCAGATCCCAGAAGAAGTGCTTTACACGGATACTCTACTTCAACCCTCACAACTGCTCCATAAAGTAAATGCTATTAGAGTAACCGTTTTACAGATGTGAAAAATAAGTCTTAGAGCAATTTCTTAGTTTGCTGTGATCACACAGCTAGCATGTCAGGCAATCTGATCTGGCACCTGCAATCTTAACCTTTCCTGAAATAATCTTATTACTTAAAAAAGTATTACTAATAATGATAAGAGGCTATATTTCATTATTTTTTGAAAAGTATGTTTATGGTCTATGTCACAAATTAAGAGTGACAATCAGAAACTCCTGTACCATTGGAAAATGAAATTTTACAATTTGGATTGCTGTTCAGGAAGCAAGGTTAAACAAATAAACAAAAATAAACAATGACAAAAGCCTTTTAATGACCATTCTGGATTTTTTTTTCATTTTAAAAATGAATGCTCAATGTTTCTTCCTCCTAGTGTATTGCTTTACTTCCTTAACAGAATCCTATTTTATTAAGAAGACTGTGAAGACAAATTTTAGACTGAGGTTCTGAGAGATGTCTTAGAGCCAGAGAAAAATGAAAAATTCCAGAAGTCTACAGAATCCAAGTAAAGAAGACTTTGTTTGGAATTGGCAGCAATGACTTCCACTAGTAGCTTACCATGCTAGTGTAATTAATCTCACTCCCATTTCTACTTCTTTTTATGGCAGAATTTCTTAACCTCAGCACTGCTGACATAGTGGGTCATATACTTCTTCATTGTGAATGGCTGTCCTCTGCATGGTAGAATGTATAGCAGCATTCTTGGGCTCTATCCACTAAATGCCCAGAGCATCCCCCAAGTTGTGACAATAAAAGGTATTTCCAGACTTTGTAACATTACTCTGGTTAACCACAGCTAGAGATTACCTCAACTTGTGATACTTTTCTGCTTATTTTGGTGTTAATTGGTATCTGCCATTGTTGCTGGTGGTCATGTTATTGTTGTTGCTTTGTCCTTTAGTAAAGGTTCCTTCTCTGCTTAGAGACAGGACATGCTTAGA